>NW_021160003.1:0-165419 GCF_000001405.40 Homo sapiens | reverse complement strand
TCTCTTTTACAGATGAGGAAACTGAAGCATGAAGTGGTTAAAGTAATTTTTCTGAGGTCATGCAACCAGAAAGTAGGGGAACTAAGATAAGGGTTTGTCTCCAGGCCTGTACTCTAAAGACTATACCCCTTGCCTTTTTGTAGCGTGCCTGTGGTAAATATAGTCAAAAGCATTTTCAGTTCTTCCTGGCTTTCTCTTAAAATTTCTAATCTGAAATATGTATACCATGACAATCAGCACCTTGGTACACATGTATTAGGTATTCACTAAATAGTTACTGATAGGTCAGCTGTTAAAGTGCTAAGGATCTGTACAGGCTTGTCTAGTAATGGACTTTTATAGTACTGTGGTTACTGACATTTTACCTGAAAAAAACCCTCAATGGCTCTACTTGACAAATTTAGTATTCAAGGCTCTACAGAGATCTGGCACCCTGATGCCCTTTCCAACCTTTTTATGCTTTTGCTATTTACACAAACCCTGCTAGTAGGTAAGCTCAGTCAGGAATGAGATGTATCATCTGTATATTGGTATGCCTAGTACTTAGTGGAAATCTAAATACTATTAATTGGGTGAATGAACCTGACTCAGTCACCATGAACTGCTACTCTTTGTACATGTAGTCTATAAGCAGTCATTCCTTGGCTCTGCCTGTTTCCTTTCTCTAGAGCCCATCCTTCATGGTCCGCTCTCCTAGGCCTAATACCATCTAGACTTTACTTGGTGTGTTAAAACTCGCAAACAATTTAAACAGTGTTATCTTATATTTTCACTAAAATGACCCTGCTAGGTTGCCACTAATTTGAGCTTAGGTTTCAGTTCTTTTTCTCATAATGATAATGGATTTTCATTGATTTTCCCACACGCATTGAATTCTCCTCATTAGTAGATTTTGTCAATTTGCACGTTATGATGAAGGAAAACCTGTTTAACTGGCAGTTAATATATGAGTGGAGGTTTAAAAAATACTAACTTTTATCTAATTTTTATCATATACGAAGAAAGGCCCTTTCTAATGTTTAAAATTGTTTTCCTGTCATATAAACATGTTTTTATTATAATATATGGAAGATAAATAAACTAGCATTATTTAACACTAACTGGGTCTAACACTGAAGAACTAACTTTTATTTGTGATTGTTCCTGGTTTTCTGAACAATCTGGAAAAGGAATGCAGCTTAGCAAAAGCCAGGCTTTGATGTCAGAAAGACCCAGTGTAAGCTCTGGCCTCCCAGCCCACTTGCTGTGTGATTCTGGGGAAGCCTTTTAACCCCTTACAGATAAGCTTTCTTGTCTGTAAACATATGTAGTAATATCTCATGTTTGGTATTTGGGGTATAATTTTGTTGCCTCCTTCTCCAACACACAAACAATAGCCAAATGGGAATCAAAGTATTGGCTTATTAATGGCCAGGCAAGTACGTTAAAACCATTCAAATAGGGCTTCTTTAATGAGATGTGATGGCTCTTAAGTGGAAGTCTGGGCGAGGAGACCCCTTTTTACCTTCCTGAATGGGACACAGTAGGGGACCATCGGACAGGCTTCCACTCAGTCACATAGCAAGTGGCAGGGCTCCGGAACAAAGTGTTGAGCTGGGTCCGTTCCAAAAAGCAAGGCCCTGCCTAGGTCAGTTGGTTGCCTGGGAGCAGGGAGTTCAGGTGTGACCCTTAGACGTGACACTAAGAAGAGGAAGAGTGGCAGAAGACATGCTAAGCACAGGCAATGACTTTAAGGCACAGGAAGTTGCCCAACAGGGGATGGGGCAGAAGCATTGCTGTTCTCTCAGGACTGGATTCCATAGAGTGAGGAAGATACTTGAGCTGAAGGAAGAAATGCCATCCCCACCCTTACCCCAACAATAATAACAAAATCCATATGGACAAAAAACATAATCTTTATCTTAAAGGGTGTTAAATGGGATTAAATAAGATTACTTACTTACTATTGAAGTCCCTAGCAAGTTCACATTGTGAAAGCAATAATGTCTGCTGCACTCTGTCAAGGGAAGCAAATTTTTATTAGGTAAGTGTTATCATCAAGACCATTTTATAGCTGGGGAAAGGGAGGCTTAGAGAAAGGAAGACTGGTCTGGTAAAAAGCAACAACAATAATATAATAAGCAAAAAAGCAATCACACTTTTACCTTGTGTTTTGGATTTAGAAAGCCTGGGAAACATTTTCTTTAAGGCTCTCTAGAGAGGAGATAAATAATTAGGCTATACTTGTCTGGAACTCCAAAGTTACCTTAAGCTTTCATAGCTGGTGAACTCAGTTTCAGGCTTGAAGGATGGAGAACCTGCTAATAAACATTTACAACTAAGGTCATTAGTCATGGATGCCATTTGGAAGCCAACAGTACTTCTTATATTTTCCAAGTAATATGACTCCATTCAATGATCTCAAAATATATCAACAACTTTGACATACATGCAAAAATCAGGGATAAGTATTTCCACTTCAGATTGGACAACAAGGTTCTGTAGTAAAACATTTTAACAACGAGAAAGCCTTGTCTCTTTAAGTATGAAGAAATACATCAAAGAAGTTCTACAAATTGTGATTAAAAACAATCAAATTTAACTTTATTGCAGATCTTTAACTACTTTTTACCTAATCAAAGATATTTATTTTAGTACACTGGTAGTATATTTTCTATATGTCTTAGGTTTCTGACCAGCAGGAACAAAAAAAGCAGTTTAACTTATACTACTGACATATTTTAGATTCAAATGTTTGCTCCATATTTTTTCCAAATTCAAGTTTATTTCATTTTTGAACCTAAACTTATATTTCCAGTTTTACTTTTTTCCTTGAGGAGTTATATCCATCTGGAATGTCTAGATAATGCCAGGGTTTATTTGGGGTAATAACCTCAAATCTCAGTGGGTTAAAATAGCAAAGATCATCATTCTCATGCACACTACATAGCATGGGCTGATTGGGATACTTGCCTCTACTTGATTCTCACTCACAGACCTTATCCAAAAGAGTTTCCATTGCTGTGCTTCCACAGGGAGAAACAGAAAAAACAGGAAACTGAGCACTGGCTCTTATTGCTCCTATATGAAAGTGACACACATTACTTCTCACATTTTGACGCCCAACAAGTCACATGTCCATGGCTAAGTTCAAAGAGGTCAGAACAGTGTACTCTTCCCCATTTCACTAGAATATAGAGACCCAGAAATATCTGTGAAACCATTAATGCATACTATAAAAGATGTCTTATCATTCTTATTTTATATCAAGGTCACAAAAATAGTATGTGGCAGAGGGCAATTATAAATCTAAGTCAGATTAAAGGTTTATGTTTCTTCTACAATATTTTTATAGTTTGAGTATGTGAAAATGTGAAAATAAGAAAATTGCCCTCTAACTGAAATTTAACCTACTAAGTACATTTACCAGACACCATTCCTCCTATATGACATAGCAAAATAAATACTTCTTTTTTGAGGAACCAAACAGTAAAGTTCTTTGAAGGAACAAATAAGAGTGAGGGAAACAGGAGGGGGATGCATATGTAGCATATAGGAAGGAATATTTAAATGAATTGTCACATATAAGTCTCTGCTCTAGCATTATTTCAGAGTATTGAATAAGAAAAGCTGTTTTATTTTTTCCCTCATAGGAAAATATAAACATTGATGAAGCCTCCAGATGCCTGGTGAAACACATACTTGCAAATGAGTGTGACCTAATGGAGTCTATTGAGCCGGACGTCGTGAAGCCCCATCTCACATCAACCAAGGTTGCCAGCTGCTCTGGCTGTGCCAAATCCTAGTAGGCACCTTTGCTGGTGTCTGGTAGGAATGACCTCATTGTTCCACAAATTGTGCCTCTATTTTTACCATTTTGGGTAAACGTCAGGATAGAGATACCACATGTGGCAAGCCAAAGATCTATGCCTCTGTTTTTTCAGTGAGAGAGAAATAGCAAATGTTCTTTCTATGCTTTCCTCACCATCATCACAGTGTTTACAAACTTTTGAAAATATTTAGTCTGTTACAAACTTCTGTCATGTAGCTGACCAAAATCCTGCAGGGCCACAGTCGGCACTGTTATTTGCTTCTTTTAATCAGCAAAGGCCTCAAGTCTTAAAATAAAAGGGGAGAAGAACAAACTAGCTGTCAAGTCAAGGACTGGCTTTCACCTTGCCCTGGTGTCTTTTTCCAGATTTCAGTATATTCTCTGATGGCCTGACAGGCCTATTAAGTAGATGTGATATTTTCTCCCAAGATGACCTCCATTCTCGGCAGACCTAAGAGTTGCCTCTGAGTTAGCTCTTTGGAATCGTGAACACAGGTGTGCTATATTGTCCTTGTCCTAACTGTCACTTGCCATGGCCTGAATGTTGGCTTAACTGAATATTGTATGAAAAGACATGCCTCCATATGTGCCTTTCTGTTAGCTTTCTCTGACTCAAGCTGTGGGGCTCCTCTATACATGCTATACATGTAATATATATTATATATATTTTTGCAAGTGAACAATAAAACATTAAAAGATGCTGTTTCCCTATTTATGAAAGTGCTTTAAGTTTCTTAGTGTTGTGAAGGGATTTTTTTTTTTTTCGGACAAAGTAAACAGGGTTCTCAAGATCCATTTCTAAAATTTTATTTCAAGGAGGAGATGAGAAATGTATGCTTAAAGAAACTGCTGGACACTATTAAAACTGGGATGAGTCTATGCCATCTGCATTTACTGTTCATATTGACATTTAGGCTACAGAGTGTACAGTGCATATACATATTTTTAGTTAATCAGAGGAATATGTCCTCATAGATTCTGATTAAGAAAGGTGCCAGATCAATCAACATAAAAAGAAACAATAAAATATGCATTGTGACACCTTGGTTTACACAGTGGTTGTGGTGCTGACACGTGCAGGTAGCTATTATTTTTTAATGTCATTATTTCATATTAATATTTGTAATACACTCACAGGAGTCGTATATACATATATATATATATATATTTTGTTGTTGTTGTTGTTGTTGAGACGGAGTCTTGCTATGTCACCAGGCTGGAGTGCAGTGGCGCGATCTCAGCTCACTGCAACTTCCACCTCCTGGGTTCAAGCGATTCTCCTGCCTCAGCCTCCTGAGTAGCTGGGACTACAGGCATGTGCCACCACGCCCAGCTAATTTTTGTATTTTTAATAGAGACGAGGTTTATCAGGATCCTGCTATTTTCCTGTAAGGGTCTTGACTTTAGTGGAGGAAACGTGGTAGCTCTGTCAGCTTGGCCTCTTACAACTCTGCAGGATCCTGAGATAGAGGATGAGATATGTGGGTACATATCCTTAAGAGTCTTGAATCCCCAAATTCTTTGGAAACTCTGACCTAGAAAAAGAGGCCTTCTACTCTTTCCAGTGGGAGAACAGTTAATTGCTACATAAAAGCCCTGCCTCAGTAGGAAGTTTTAAGGTGAGGCTTGCCCATATCAAGTTCTGCCCCCATTTCTCCTCATTGCTTCTAGACAAATAACTAGGGCCAAGTCTCAGCATGATCTGAGTGGAAAAGGATGATCTGTGTTGCAGGATGAAATGGATTATTTATCAAATGAACTACAGAATCTGGCTAGTAAATATTAGTAGTAATGTAGAGAACAATCCATGAATTGGTCTTGATATACTGAAATATTGGATCATGGCGATAAGGCCGGATAATAGATACTCTACTTATATGAGGAAATACTTTCATGAGTTAATTTTTAACATTCTGACAAGTCTACCTGGCATTGATTCTAATATGCTATTGGAATGGCTTGGCTCCTTGAAGCTTATAAATGATTCTGGCCTGAAATAAATGATGTGGACATGCCAGAACTACATTGGCAAAATACTGGAGAAGAGATCCAGGGTCTCATAGAAGTGGGAATGTTAGAGTGTACTTATTTTGAAAGGCCGGAGAATCTGCCAGCTCATTGTGTTCTCCAGGAGAGCCTAGAAGACAATCACTTTACTAAAGCAAGAAGTGTTCCCAAAAGAGGGATACCTGCATCAATGAGAAACTCAGTAGTGATTGTTCTCTATTGACCAGGCTTGAGATTATAGAGATGTTGCTCTGTTTTTATGGGACTGGCTTCCTTCATATTTAAGGGTCATTAAGTGGTAGACTATTAAATGGTGCTGGCATATTTGGTTCTGTGTCTTAGACATCTAGGACCAAAAGATGGAAATAAGAGTATAGCCTCTCCCTGTTACTTTTAATAATCTACTTAAGAAAATGAGTTTCTCCTTGCCAGAACTTCAGGTTTTCCATAATTGGAGGTCTTAATACTTCTACCAGAAGACATAGTAAGGGTTCCAATAAATCTACAGCTTCAGCTGCTGTCTGATTAATTTTGGCTCCTCAGGCCTATAAACCAGCAGTTAGAGAAGGTAGTTACTATACAGACAAGGGTCATTCACCATAATGATCAAAAGGAAATGGGGTTGCTACTAGATAGTGGAGCAGAAAGTAGTGTGTCTGGAACTCATGGGATTCACTGGGGTGCCTCTTGATGCCTCCATCACTGGTGATATCTGAAAGGGCAGTTGCAGCAGCAACATCTTGATAAGGACGAGAAGTCAGGGACTCATACTCTCAGGGATAAATGTCTGAGTTATTGCACTATGCAATGAACCTTGATTAGAAGCAGTTTGGTCAAGGGAAGGGAAATGATGAATATTAATTATGGCATCACGTATGGTGTCAGGATTAACCATAACACTGGAGAATGTAGCTTATCTCACCAACCTTCCTGTTAGTATTCTTACTGTCTCTGTCTTTTTTTCTTTTTCATTTTTAGTAGAGACAGGGTTTCACCTCATCAACCATCCTGGTCTCGAACTTCTGGCCTCAAGTGATCCACCTGCCTTGGACTCCCAAAGTGCTGGATTTACAGGTGCGAGCCACCAGACACCTGGCCTAAACACCTTTCTTTTCTTTTCTTTTTTCTTTTTTTTTTTTTTGAGATGGAGTCTCACTGTATTGCCCAGGCTGAAGTGCAGTGGTGCGATAGCTCACTGAAACCTCCACCTCCCAGGTTCAAGTGATTCTTCTGTCTCAGCCTCCCGAGTAGCTATGACTACAGGCATGCGCCAGCACACCCGGCTAATTTTTGTATTTTTAGTAGAGGTGGGGTTTCAACAAATTGGCCAGGCTGGTCTCGAACTCCTGACCTCATAATCTGCCCACCTCGGCCTCCCAACGTGCTGGGATTACAGAAGTGAGCCACCACGCCTGGCCTTTATTATTATTATTTTTATACTTTAGGTTCTGGGATACATATGCAGAATGTGCAGGTTTGTTATATAGGTATACATGTGCCATGGTGGTTTGCTGCACCCATCAACCCATCATCTGCATTAGGTATTTCTCCTAATGCTATCCCTTCCCTGGCCCCCCACCCTCTGACAGGCCCCAATGTGTGATGTTCCCCTCTCTGTGTCCATGTGTTCTCATTGTTCAACTCCCACTTATGAGTGAGAACATGCAGTGTTTGGTTTGGTTTTCTGTTCCTGTGTTAGTTTGCTGAGAATGATGGTTTCCAGCTTCATCCATATCCCCGAAAAGGACATGAACTATCCTTTTTTATGGCTTCATTGTATTCCGTGGTATATATGTGCCACATTTTCTTTATCCAGTCTATCATTGATGGGCATTTGGGTTGGTTCCAAGTCTTTGCTATTGGGAATAGTGCTGCAATAAACATACGTGTGGATATGTCTTTATAGTAGAATGATTTATAATCTTTTGGGTATATGCCCAGTAATGGGATTGCTGGGTCAAATGGTATTTCTGGTTCTAGATCTTTGAAGAATCACCACACTGTCGTCCACAATGGTTGAACTAATTTACACTCCCACCAACAGTGTAAAAGTGTTCCTATTTCTCCACATCCTCTCCAGCATCCGTTGTTTCCTGAATTTTTAATGATCACCATTCTAACTGGCATTAGATGGTATCTCATTGTGGTTTTGATTTGCATTTCTCTAATGACCTGTGATGATGAGCTTTTATTCATATGTTTGTTGGTCTCATAAATGTCTTCTTTTGAGAAGTGTCTGTTCATATCCTTTGCCCACTTTTTGTTGGGGTTGTTTTTTTCTTGTAAATATGTTTAAGTTGTTTGTAGATTCTGAATATTAACCCTTTGTCAGATGGATAAATTGCAAAAATTTACTCCCATTCTGTAGGTTGCCTGTTCACTCTGATGATAGTTTCTTTTGCTGTGCAGAAGCTCTTTAGTTTGATTAGATCCCATTTGTCAATTTTGGCTTTTGTTGCCATTGCTTTTGGTGTTTTAGACATGAAGTCTTTGCCCATGCCTATGTCCTGAATGGAGTTGCCTAGGTTTTCTTCTAGGGTTTTTATGGTTTTAGGTCTTACATTTAAGTCACTAATCCATCTTGAGTTAATTTTTGTGTAAGGTGTAAGGAAGGGGTCCAATTTCAGTTTTCTGCATGTGGCTAGCCAGTTTTCCTAACACCATTTATTAAATAGGGAATCCTTTCCGCATGGCTTGTTTTTGTCAGATTTGTCAAAGAGCCAGGTTTTAGATGTGTAATGTTTTTCCTGAGGCCTCTGTTCTATATATCTGTTTTGGTACCAGTACCATGCTGTTTTGGTCATTGTAGCCTTGTAGTATAGTTTGAGGAGCAACACTAAGACACATAATCATCAGATTGACCAAGGTTGAAATTAAGGAAAAAATGTTAAGGGCAGCCAGAGAGAAAGGTCAGGTTACCCACAGAGGGAAACCCATCAGACTAACAGCGCATCTCCCTGCAGAAACCCTACAAGCCAGAAGAGAGTAGGGGCCAATACTCAACATTCTTAAAGAAAAGAATTTTCAAACCAGAATTTCATTTCCAGCCAAACTAAGATTCATAAGCAAAGGAGAAATAAAATCCTTTAGAGACAAGGCAAATGCTGAGAGATTTTGTCACCACCACGCCTGCTTTACAAGAGCTCCTGAAGAAAGCCTAAATATGGAAAGGAAAAGCTGGTACCAGCAAAAACATACCAAATTGTAAAGACCATCGACACTATGAAGAAACTGCATCAACTACCAGGCAAAATAACCAGCTAGCATCATAATGACAGGATCAAATTCACACATAACAATATTTACCTTAAATGTAAATGGGCTACATGCCCCAATTAAAAGTCACAAACTGGCAAATTGGATAAAGAGTCAAGACCCATCAGTGTGCTGTATTCAGGAGACCCATCTCATGTGCAGAGACACACATAGGCTCAAAATAAAGGGATGGAGGAATATTTACCAAGCAAATGGAAAGCAAAAACAAAACAAAAAAACAAACAAAAACAAAAACCGGGTTGCAATCCTAGTGTCTGATAAAACAGATTTTAAACCAACAAATATCAAAAAAGACAAAGAAGGGCATTACATAATGGTAAAGGGATCAATGCAAAAGAAGAGCTAACTATCCTAAATATATATGCATCCAATACAGGAACACCCAGATTTATAAAGCAAGCTCTTAGAGACCTACAAAGAGACTTAGGCTCCCACACAATAAGAGTGGGAGACTTTAACACCCACTATCAATATTAGACAGATCAATGAGACAGAAAATTAACAAGGATATTCAGGACTTGAACTCAGCTTTGGACCAAGTGAACCTAATAGACATCTAGAGAACTCTCCACCCCAAATCAATAGTATATACATTCTTCTTAGCACCACGTTGCACTTATTCTAAAATTGATCATATAATTGGAAGTAAAACACTCCTCAGCAAATGCAAAAGAATGGAAATCTTAACAAACAAGTCTCTCAGACCACAGTGCAATCAAATTAGAACTCAGGATTGAGAAACTCACTCAAAATTGCACAACTACATGAAAACTGAACAACCTGCTCCTGAATAACTACTGGGTAAAAAACGAAATTAAGGTAGAAATAAATAAGTTATTTGAAACCAATGAGAACAAAGACACAATAGACCAGAATCTCTGGGACATGGCTAAAGCAGTGTTTAGAGGGAAATTTATAGCACTAAATGCCCACAGGAGAAAGTGGGAAACATCTAAAACTGACACCCTAAAATCACAATTAAAAGAACTAGAGAAGCAGCAACAAACAAATTCAAAAGCTAGCAGAAGACAAAAAATAACTAAGATCAGAGCAGAACCGAAGGAGATAGAGACACAAAACCCCTTCAAACGAATGAATCCAGGAGGTATTTTTTTTTTTGAAAAGATTAACAATTTTCTTAACAACAGTGAGAGGTAGTTTGTCATGAAATAATACATGTAAAACACTTAGTATAGTGCTAAAACATAACAAGTAATCAATACATGTAGATATTATGATACTACTATGCTTATTTTTAAAATTGAAGAAGTAGTATAAGCAAAGCTATTAGGTAAAAAATGGTAGATATTTTTGGATGTGTCAAATATGGGACCCTAGGGTAAATCAATAGAAATGCAAAGTTGATTAGCAGTCACCTAGGCTTCGGAGGGTTTCATGGATGACAGATAAAGCCTATGGGTTTTCTTTGGGGGATGAGAAAAATGTTCTCAAATTCATTCTGGTTATAGTTACACAACATGAATATACTAAAATCCACTGAATGCTATACTTTAAATGGGCAAAATCTGTGGTATGCAAATAAAAAATAAAGCTGTGATAAGAAAAAAAAGTGGAACCACAGGAAAAAGCAGTATAAAACTATTGTTTCCCTTGATGCATCACTTTAGCTTAACGATGGTGTGTAGTCCTGGTGTTTGTTATTCCACGGGAGGGAATTTTAGAGTGTGCCTCTTTATCGCTGCTCTTCTCTGTCTAGTACTTCATCACTTCTGAATTCATGACTTGCTCTCAGATGTTCCAACTAGCATTTTGTATGAATTTAAACTTGGCTGCATCTGAGCTGTTTCTGTCTTAAAACATTGGCTTCTTGGAATTCCCAAGCAACCGGAAAATTTCCCAATATTGGAAAAGAAAAGATCATGAAAAATCCTAATAAAAACGGTCAGAAATGCTGATAAACTAAACAAAGTAAGTCTTGAAGACAAGGGTAAAATGCCTTTAGGAAGTGTGTCCAAAACTGTTCACTGCATTGATGAGTCTGAAATTTTCCATATCATCAAGCTAATTTATTTTCTTCAATTTGACTGACTTTTAGAATATCAACCTCCAGGCACAGGCAGTATATACCTAAATGCAGTGTACTCACTGAAACTGTAATGGTAGACATAAGACTCTGGAATTTAAAATTCCAGATGACCCAGGTCATGCTTTATATTAGAACAAAATTGTCTTTCAAAGAGCTCAAAGAAACTTTATGAAAGTGTGTTTTTTTTGTAAATATCAAATATGAGAAAGTTGCTATTACTTGTAATAAAATACAATGTTTTCTATTTTGTCTTGAACTGAACTTTGAAGAAGTTACCTTATGCCAGATGTGTAACATAAATTTGTATTCATTGGACTCCTTAATCAAATAGCTATCAATTCGCTGCTCTGAGCAAGTTGTTGTGTTTGGTGCATTAAGTAAGTCACTTGTCAAGATCTCTAGCAAAATGCATAGTGCTTAATATATGTTAGTTTCTTTTTTTTCTCTCTGTGATAGCTGTTGCCATGGAAACCAGAAATAAAAAAGTCACGGGTCTCTGCTCTTTAAGTCTACAGTTTCATTGGGGGAAGGGAGAGTGGGTTAATAAGAGGCAAAAGATACAGTTGAGGATCAAGAAAAGAAGACTGTTTCTGTTTCCACTGCATGACATTCTGCATTTTATTTTATCATTATAATAAATGTTAGAAGCTATAATTCATTGTTCAGATCAGGTATTATATCTTTTCAAAACATAATGTCATTTAATCATCATTACTACCTCTATTGGGAGGTATGATTACACATTTTATAGATAAGAAAACATTGTTAGAAATAAAAGATCTACATGTATCATGTGATTCTGGCAGGATTTCTTGTCAGTGCATCTGCTCTTCTGGCCACAATGGGCTAATCAGAGTACTTCATTCTTCGTGGCTCAAGTGACAGGTCTAGAGGTGTGCTTGTGATCCAAGCTGAACTATGCAGGGTCTTTGGCTGTGCCTTTTTTCCAATTCTTTAGAAAAGGGGCTTGTAGGAAATGGCCATGATTTTCTCACCCCATGTGACAGCTGGGTGAACACATAACCTATACATAGAATCAAGCAGTTAAGAAAAAGAAAGGCAGGGAGAAATGAAGATCCCATCTGAATCTCTTAGTTTAACTGTGTATAAGTCCTGATTTAACCTTTAACTTCCTAGTTACAAGAGGCAATAAATTCCTCTTTGGTTTTGTTGTTGTTCATTTGTTCAGAACAGATTGCATTGATTTTTCTATAACTCAAACATTCCTGACTAATATAGCCATAGATTTGTATAGGTATTGGCAGCTTTACTTCAAGTATTCTGCTAGTAAAAAGTATATAAAGACATGGCCGATGGAGGAAAAGATGCTAATCCAAGTGAAACAGTCAGCAGCCCAGAAATAAAAAGATAATGACAAGTGGCTTATAGAATAAAAATAAAGCACATGAATACTTTTTTGGAATAAATAATGTTGTTAAATTACTATAGAGGAAGGTGTAATAGAGGAAGGTGTATATTAATTTATATACATGTGATGTTATTTACATTATAAATTAATATGAAAATGCTTTAATCAGAGTGTGTTTCCATACAAGAATCAGGAGGTAAATATTATTAAAAATCTGTAAAGTAAGGTCTGGAAATTTCTAGAGAAGAGAGAATATTGAGAGTAATCAAAGAAGGATGGAAAATAAAAATTTTGTGAAAGTGCAAAATAATATGGGGCCATGGAGTCTCCCAGAAGCAGCATGAGAAGGGATTTGATAAATGATTTAAATACTGATTAATTTTGAGAAGAGTGATATTGAGCTATTCTCTTTGGCAAAGGAAACAAATATTGAGAGGACAAAGGATAAGCAAGGTTCATAAATGCTTTGTTTGGCCCTAACCACAAAAAGAATTACAGTGAGTTTATGGAGAGACACAATCATTTGAATATGACAAGTAAATGAAATAGTGCTCAATCACAGGCACTGAAAAATCATCATGAATTGGTATTTAAAATACTGTTTATTTAGTGCCCACTTTGTGCCAACTACTGTACACATGCTGCTTAGTCACAGCAACACCACAAGATAATCATTAACCTGATTTGAGAGATGAAGAAATTATAAAGCTCAGAGATCTTTAGCAACTATTTCAAGGTTCACATAGCTAGAAAGTGACTGAGCCAGTAGTCAAACTCAAGACTGGCTGGCTCAAAAGATTTTGTTTTACCATGACTCAAATGACACATTTCAATCTGCCTCTATCTGACCATATTTTCATATGACCATAGTTTAGATGGCACCAATTTTCAAGATTATGTATTTATTTTGTGTAAACATCAGTTAAGTTTCAGTAAGGGACAGACATGCAGTAAATTGAATAAGGGACATTTAACGTAAGAAAATAACTAGTAAAAGGAGATCAATTAAGAAGGATTGGTTAAAGAGAACGCTAAAGAATCCAGGAATAGCAAATGCCGGGAAAAGCCGCCACTTCTATGGCTGAGGGAGCGCATCCAAAGAGGGAAAAAACTTGGCAGATCCTCCCCAACTTCCCACCCCTTGCTTCAAGTTGAGATTCAGACTTTGTTGGAGAAAGTGTTGCCAAAGCCCACCAGATAGGGGAAAAGTTCAGTTAGGTGCCTCATGCCAGGGCAGATGATCAGGAAACCACTCTCTGGGAAATCACTGAAACTCACTGGGGGTTGTGGACCGCTAGGTCTTCCACCCTCACTGACGACACCTTCTGGCAAGAAAGCTGGCTGCTGGTAAGGAAGGACACTTGTCTTCTGGCAGCACACCATAGAAGCCAGAAAAAAAGCACTGACTCTGGTAAGAGAATCCCCTCCCTCCTGCAGGATCTCACTAGCACCCTCTACTGACAAGGCTTTACATTGTGCCTACTGGCAAAGGAGAAATGTTTGCAAGGTTTCCCTTTGGAATTTAAAACTAAGGAAAAGAGGGTGGCTTTGGAGCAGAGAAGCAATGAATTGAAAACTGGCACAGTGTATTAATTAGAGTAAGCCATGATAACTGCAGGAACAACTCCAAAGTTTCAATGGCTTAGTATAATAAAGGATTCCTTCTCACTTAAAGCGTGATCTGGTGCTAGTCAGGTGACTCTATAAAGCTACTGTTCTATAAATAGAAACTCAACTATTTAGACGCCTTGTCTTGTGTGGCTCCACTACCTTGGAGCCCTTTGTTTCTGTAAACAAACGGGAGAGAGACAGAATATATAAGATTAGAGGCATGGTTTAAAGCCAATCCGATAAGGTGTATATGTAATTTGCCCACATTGTGCTGACCAGAACATAGTCAGAAGACTCTACTTTTATGAGAAACTGGGAAATGTACTAGAGAAAAATGAAATAGACAGTAAACATGTAGCCTTATCTCTGACACACTAGATTTCAAATGCTTGTCAATAAGTTTAAGTTATCATATGTCTCAGAGTCTTAATTCATCTATAATATAAAAAATAAGATGTCTACTTCAAAATAACACTATGGTATTTAGAGCAATATTATGTAAAGAATTAAACAACAGAGCCACTACATACTTAGACATTCAGTAAATATTAAATTTCCTAAATCAGTAATTATCAAGGGTGAAAAAAGAAATAGGATATATGTCAAAATCTCAAGGTTAAATTACAGCACGCATTTACAAAGGGAAGGGCATGGCAGATGGGATTATATATAGGAGGAAATGGAAAGGGCACTCTGTGGAATGACATATCAGAATCTAGTGTTTGTGAAACTAATGAGGGAAGGGAGGAGACGGGAGTAACAATGTAATATTTATTAGAAGAGAGTGGGTTAAGAAAGATTGAGAAACTGCTGTAAATGCTTGTTAGGTACTTGCCTGAGATGCGTGCAAGCCTGTATCATCATGCCTATTTGACTTAACTCATAGGCTGGAGAGGAAGTTTCAGAGCAAGGGAGTTTGTCTGAAATGACACTGCCTACATTCAAATCCTAGCATTATTACTTAATATTCATGCTTTCTTGAGCAATCTCCTTAACATCTCTGTGGCAGAGACTGCTGGTTGCCACCTAATAACTTTTTCTCCTTCTTACGTGAATATATACTTTTTAGCTGGGTATTTGAACTCTCAGCTAAATAGTACACTTCAGTGTCCCTTGCAGATGAGTATAGCCATGTGATTAAATTGTGGTCAATGTGAAATCAACAGAAATTGTGTGCAATTCCTGAGCTTTTTCCTTCAATGAAAAGAAAGTATTGCCCATATTCCTTTGGAATGTCGACATGAAGCTGAGAGCTAGAGCAGTCATCTGGAACTGCAAAGTGGAAGCCTCACTGAGAATGAAAGAGTAAAAAGATAGAAGGGTTCAGGTCCCAGATAATGGTGAGTTGCCCTACCAACAGTGGACTACCTGCTTGAATATTTTAGGATAGAGGAAAAAACATTATATCCTATTGAAGCTATGGTATTGGAGGTGTCTGATACAACCTGGCATGTATCCTGAGTAAAACCTAATCCTCTGGTTTTATAATCTGCAAAATTGGTATGTTAATAGTAGAGTCATACATCCTGGTTCTTGTTAAGATTGACAACAATGATAACAATAGCAATATCAGATGCTTATGTAGCCCTCACTCTGTGCCTGGCACAGTCCTAAGAGCTTTACTTGTGCGTACCATACAGATATTTGCTGTCATCGTTTTTCTACTTTCTCCAGGATCTCCAAGGTAACCATTCCAATTCCTCTTTCACTCTTTCTTCACTAAATGCCACTAGAATTACAATTAATATTCAGTGTATATTTCTATATGGAAAGCAGTATAAATATGTTAATAGTATATAAATATAATAGTGTAATTATAAATAGAGATTATATAATTTGAATAACATAATTATGTATATTATTACTTTTATGTGTTGGTTACTTAAAACCAGCTGTTGATAATATTATTATCAACTTTGTGGTCATGAAAATCAAAAACATTTTTTATAGTGTGAAACAGAAACCGTGTCTTTATAACATATTTCCTCTTACAACAAATATAAAATATGCATATTAAATAAAATACATAAAATGAATGCAAAATTCATGAGTGATACACTATTCACATTAACCTGCCTTTTTGTCTGCCTAAATGGAATTGTATTTAACATGATGTCTTGGGACCTAATTTTTTTCTCTTTGTAATGAACATCTTTCTAATTCATCAAATATTTTTATACAGCGTAAATTTTGAAGGTGAATATAAATCATATTATATTAATATATACTGTGGTTTATTTAACCAAACCATGAATGCTGGATATCTATGTTGTTATAAATAATTTGCCTTTAAATGATGTTTCAAAGATAAATGTTTGTTTACTCAATTAATTCTTTGTAATAGATTCTTAGAAGTTAAATTGCTGAATCAAAGATTATGAAAAAATGTTAAGCCATGTGAATATTATTTTCAGAAAGCTTGTATTAATTTCCACTTCCGTCATTGATGTTTAAAAATATCCAAAGAGCACAGCAATTTATGACCATCTCTCCTACACCTACTTGTAACCATTGTGGATACCCAGCAGAAGGCCTTTCCAGGTGTGTGTTGGGGAGGGAGTGATAAATACATGAAGAGAAGGAAAACATTTGCAGACACCAAAAACCTGATGTCAGATTACAGCAATGTCATTTTCAATAGGAGAACAGATTAAACTTATATTTTAGTCTCCTCTTTCCTCCTTTTATTCAGTATCCTTGAGAAAGATCATCCTATTCCCTAGCAGTTGGGGAGAAGTACTATGACAGTAAAGATAAATGGTAAAGTAAAAAGTAAGTAAATGATAGGGTTTCCTAAGAACTATTTTGTCTACTTGAAATTATAACCTACAGGCTCCTACAAAACCTGCCTGTCCATAATATTTCTAAAATTAATGTCAAGTCTTTGTGTCTTGCAGTTTTAAAAATACATTTATTCTACCAAAGTGTTATTACAATTTTCAACAACTAATATGATCACCTTAGTTTGTTTTAAATCCGTGGCAATAAAATGTACTTTCCAAAATGCTATTGAGGTTTACACCTTAACTTTGCATAAACTATAATTCTAATAACAGAATGAATATAGCCATGAAAATTTTCCCCAGAAATGTTTAATAATCTATTTTAATCACAGCAGGGAGCCAGATTCTTTGATGGATTGGATTAGTGGAATATAAAATATGAAATACCAAGTACAATTGGACGATGAATTATAATATTAACATGCCATCGGAAAGACTTTCTTACATGATTTTCTTACAGTTTTACAGTTCCACACAATCTCACCACTCCCTCTTTTCTGGCACCCTTCAGGAATGCTAGCTAGGCTCCCTTAAAACGGCCATTCCACAAATGTTTTCGATTTATGTTGGCTGACCTTGAATCAGAATTTATGGCATCTGTCAGTATTGTACTATTCTTTTTCGTTGGATTTGGGTTAACAGGCGGGGGTGACTTTTCAACTTTTTAGGTGTTTTTAAAAATCTTTGTTGTTTTGTCTTTGTGTGTGTGTTTTATTGCTATTAAGGAAAACTATCAAAAATCACTCATGATTAAACACTTTTTCTAAGATGAGTCAAGTGCACTAGTGAGAAGGGAGGAGAGTAAAACAAGGGGTTTGATCTGTAACTGACTGTGAACAATCAGTTAAGATAACTCATTACCTTCAGACCAGCCTAAACACTTTCTGATAAAACTGGGAGAATGAAGTTCTTAATCATGGAATTCCTAAACAGGTTAAATGAGATAACCTATTTGAAGTATTTAGAAGAATCCTTGACATCTTGAACTGTGAAAATATTATTATATTAATAAATTATTATTTTAATATAAATTGAAATTTAAATATCACCAAGCGAAAGACATGCCTTGACCCTATGTACTAAGAGTGTGCTCTGTAACAATCATATATTTAGATTTAGAAAGATTTGACCCAACACTCTTGTCCTAGGAGGATATCAAATATCACTGGTGTTGGAGGTGGCTTAGCTAGGACATCTTAACATATTCTCCTACACACTAGACTCCCATGAGTAGGGCTATGTGTTTGGGTGAGGAGGTGTGCACATGACCACAAGTGCCCCCATGTTGTGCTTTAATTCAACTATGCTTATATTTCGGATTGATTTACTCCCCTTAGGAGATTCTAATTGATAACAATGGAATGTTAATGTGACTTAAAAATAATTTCCACTTGTATCTATTTGAAGTTCTCTTTCTCTCCCCTCGTTTTGATTTTCGGAGTGTCACATCAAGAAAACCTGTGAGACTTAAGAAGAGGTGATGAATTCTGTGAAAATTAAAAAAACAAAATAACATAACAAGGAAAGGGATTTCCTTGAGCTCTAGGGCATAAAAGTCATTAAATATTTAATGATAAGCCAGGCTTGATTTAAATCCCAAGAGTTCATTTTCACCATTTTATTGCATTTTTTACATATTATACATAATCAGTTTGCATAAGATAAAACTGCATAAATAAATTCCTCATTCTATTTCAATTACGTTTGATTTTTAAGGATCAAATATAGTTCTATTGGTTTTTAATAATTTTTAAAACAAACAGAAATGATTAAAGAGCTTTATTAGAAATAAAACAAACATATAAGAACACATTTTTATTTCCTTTGGTCCACTCTATGTCCAGTTAAAAATATACAAGATTTAGGATTTAATTAGCTTTTATAAAAAGAATCTGCTTTTCTTACTAAAAAATAATAGCAACAAAAAGAAAACAAAAAAATATTTTTCAGTATCATGCCTGGTATGAAGACCCAAAATGAAAATGGGCTATTTTTAAACAATGTAGGGTTTGTTTGGTTTTTCTGTACCTGGAGGAGATACCACAAGTATAAGCAACATATAGGATGCCTTCGCTATTATCTAATAAATCAAGGTTCTAATAAGAATAGCAAGTTCAAGTAAGCTGTAAAGCACACTTACAGCGTGGCCTTGGGTTTGTTTCACTGATTGAGTCTCAGAGGTGCTTCTGTAAGGCTTTAGTAAAATAGAAAATCCAACCTATTTTACACATTCTTTCAAAAAGTTATGTTGCATTAAAAACAGAGAATGGAAAGATCTTCAGGTTATTATCCCAGCACTCATTGTAGGAATGAAACTGAAGTTCAAGAATGTTCACTGGTGTTTATGAGGTCATGCAACTAGCTAAGATACAGAATATTGGCTAAAAGCCATATCTCCACTGTTCCACTAATATGTCCTGCTACTGAGAGAATGTTGGGTACTGGGCATTCTACTTACATTACTTTATTTAGTTGGCATAGCAAACCTGCAATATAGACTTAAGTTTTCTCTTAACAAATAAACACAGACTTAGAGAGGTTGAGTTACTTGCACAAGGTCACACAGAGTAAGGATGAATTCAAATCCTGTTCTGACCTTAGCATTTGTCTTTCTGGTACGCTGTCCCACCTCGTTCATAGCAGGCTCTCTATTCCATCGTCCTTTCTATTGTTGAAATATGTGTCCCTTTCCTGTTTGCTGTGTACCAAATTTCTGACAAGAAACCAGGAAGCCACCACCAAATAAGACTCTATTTATTTATTTATGTATTACTGCATCTCTACCTCAGCTGTTCTACAGTGGCTCAGAAGAGGCTCTGAAGCAATTCCGATGTTTAACCATTCCCCTTGATAAATCAAATCACAAGGACAGGTAATGGCTTCCTAGAGAGGCTGACTTTGGAAAGAAGAGAAGCATGAGCAGTAAAGTATTGATAAAGTGATACTCTTGTAAATTGGTAAATATGTATTTGTATTCAATTCTGAAATCCATCCATTTTACTGATAAGAAAACTAAGGTTCTGCAATAGTAATGAATTAAGACCTCTGTTTTCCAGAGACACAATCAGAACATATTGTCCTTTTTCAGAAGCCCTATCCTGTCCTTTTCTAGATTTTTAGGACTTCTACTTGTGTAGGAATTTCATAATACTTGGAGGAGGTACAGGTTGAGTATGAAAATGTAAAGCTAACAGGAAATTAAGGGATGAAGGAACTCGAATTCTTTCTGTAGTAGCGAATGAGTTTGGTCCTGGTGTCCTCAACATGTCCCTACTACAGCTCCTTTGTGAGTCACAAAGCTGAGGGCACCGCATGGCACACAATACTGTGAGGGGGTCAAAGCATCCTTGAAGCATCCTGGCTGTGTTTTGGGAGGGTTCCACTCTCTATTCTTGGTTACTCTTTCCTCTGTGTTTCTGCAGAACTACGCACAGGTATTACTCACAATCAAAGATTGTTCTAGGATCCAAACGCAGACTCAGGAATTTCTTCCTGACAGTTTATAAACTCTTTGGTGCACAGATGGAGTGCTTTGTTTCCTCTGTACTTAGCTCACAATCAGGTAGATGCTAAATGCTTGCTGGTTGTCTGATTGAATTTGCCCAAGCTTTGCATCTGGAGTTGGACTTGAAACATTCCATTTGCTATAAAGTAACAGGCACTTCATGGGGTATTTTGGGATATCCTAGAAAGCCCTGGGAAATAGGAATGGAAAGGAAAGTCTCTTGTCTATGTGCAAAACAAGGCCTGTTTTAATTTAGAGAGTCCAGTATTTGAGCTGTGTAGAAAATAAAAACATATGGGGATATAGATCTCTTTTTTTTCTTGTATAATTTCTCTTAAGAATTGTTTTTCTATTTAAAAATGTTCACAGGTAGAAGTGTCCATCAGCAGATGAATGGATAAAGAAATGTGTTTTTTTATTTTACAAAATAAAACAGATATGAAAAAAGAGTCCCCCCTCGCCCCTTCCATGACCACACCACTGAAATATTTACTCTGTTGACATTTTGACATAAGTTTCTAGAATATTTTCTGTTTATATTTTTTCTTTTATTTTTAAAATTTAAAAATATAGTGTGAAATTATATATGCATTCTTACCACAAATAGAATATTTTCTACATACAGAACATTTTAATAAAAACACACTGGCCCCTTTCTTGCTTGCTTTATTTCCTTCCATCATTCCTGCTTCCTTTCTTTTTTTCTTTGTTTTTGTTGTTAAAGAATTATTTCTTCAAATATAACTCATTTATCAACAACTTAGCACTGTTGAGATTGCTGCAGATAAAGCAGTGTATAAAGCAAAGGCCCTGCTCTCATGTAAGTTTCACTGGTCTACGTGACCATCTACAAATATATATATAATATGTTAGGTGTTAATGAGTTTTGCAGAGAAAGGTAGACACGTAAGAGGGAGAGACAGTGATTGTTGGGGTGCTATTTTATGCAGGATAGCCAAAGGAATCTTCTATGTGGAGATGACAATTGAGCAGAGAACCGGGGGAATTGAGTAACCAAGCTATGAAAATATCTGAGAGAAAAAAACAATTATAGACAGAACAGGAAATGTGAAGGCCCTGAGGGAGGAACATGCTTGGGGTTTCCAAGGAACTGTAAAGAGGTCAATGTGACCTGAAGACACTGAGCTAGGGAGAATAAAGTGAATGAAATAAGAAAGGTATTGGGGAGGGTAAAGATGATGTAGGATTTCTTATTTTGATCTTTAATTGGAATAAAATGGGGAAGCATTAGAAGATACTGAGAAGAGGAGTGGAATTATATAACCGAAATTTTAAGAGGGCCACTGTTGGATGTTGTGTAAAGAAGAGTTTACAGGGGTCAGAGGTAGAAGCAGAAATGCCAGATAGGAGACTATTGCAATAATCCAAGCACACGATGATGCTGCCTTGAACCAGGGTAGCAGTGGATGAGGTGCTGAAAGTCACTGAGTGTTGACTCAAAAGCAGAACCAAAGCGATTTCCTGATAGATTGGATGTGAGGTGTGAGAGGAATTAAGGGCAATCCAAAGTTTTTGTCTTGAGTAACTGCAAAAGCTGTGAACAGAGTAGGAGGTATAACTGTGATGTTAGGGAGATCAAGAGTCAAATTTGGGGCTTGTTAAATTTGAGATACCAATTGGAGATAGGTAGTTGGACATATGATATATAATACTAGAGTTGAGAAGAAACATCAGGTTTAGTTAAAACTTTGGAATTCATCAGCTTATAGACAGTATTTAAAGTTATGGATAATGCAGAAAGTAAATATAAAGAGAAGAAAGAATTCAAGGATTGACTTCTGGGGTACTCAAACTTTAAATTTTGAAAAATAAGAAGGAATAGCATAGAAGAATGAAAGGAGTAGCCAGTCAGTAGGAGGAAAACAGAGTGACTTCCTAGAAGCCAAATGAGAATGTTTCAAGAAGACAGGAGCAACTACATCAAAGGCTGCTGATAGACTGAGAGGATGAGGACTGAGAAGATATCAGTGGGTCTATCAGTAGGTAATTACTGTAACTATGACAGAAGAGTTTCAGTAGAGAATAAGAGAATGAAGAGAGGAGGTACAAATGTGTAAATATAAACAATTCCCTTGCTTGGAAATGAAGCAGAGAAATGGGATTATGTCAGGAATGGTGTTGAGATAAATACAGAGCTTTCATTTTGTTCTGTATTTTTGCTTATATCTTGTGTGTTTTAGGATGGGAAATGTGTAGCATGTTTGCACAGTGAAAGATATAATCCAATAGACTGGGGAAGGGAGGTGAAAAATTAATGGTGCAAGAAAAAAGAAAGGTGATTATTGGAGTGATGTCTTTGAGTGAGAAAAGAGGATCTAGGGCATGAATGGAAGAATTGGCCATAGGCGAAATAATGTTTCTCCATAGTAACTGGTGGGAAGGCAGTGTATTGCTTTTGCTTTCTCAGTGGAATAAGAAGAGAGTGAGAGGAGAAAAGCAGATATTGAAGGTTCAAGAATAAATGAAAAGGTGTGAAATAATCTTCTAAGAAAGTAGGAAGATGAGTTGAAATATACATAAAGAAATATATAATTGCCTGCCAGCACAAAGAACACACTCGAAGTTGGCAGTTACAAATTTAAAGTGAGATCAAAAAGTATAGTTCTGCCTTTTGTTGCCAGTCATATTCTGCTATGCAGGCTCAGGTTAAAGTAGGTGGAAATTTAGATTCAACTTGAGTTGGTGATTTAATAAGAAAGTCTGATAGAGGGAAAGAGGGGTAAGGGATATGAGGACACATGTAAAAGAGTTCACATAATGTTTGACAAGAGAGTTAAGTGGATTAGGAGGAAAGTGGAGACATGAGGAGTTGAAGGACAGTAAAGTGGTGGTAAGATCAATCTATTGTAGGCACAGGTGGGATCAAAGGATTGTTTACAGAAAGCAAAACTTGTTCTTAATAATAGTCTAGGGTAGGCCTCAGAAATGAGTGGCAGAGGTAGTTGGCAGAACAAGATCATTAAAGAAGATGAGGCTTATGATATTAGAAAATTGATCCATGTGCCTATTGAAACTAGCAAAGAAAACACAGATGGACTTGGAGAGTGATGGCAAGCCATGTAATGGAATTTTTGAATAATTAGGGGGAAAGTAGCTGTGTATCTATCTAGGAATTGGAGAGAATAGTGGTATATTGGGAAAAGCACCAAATCTGGCTTCATTCACTGATTACTACTGATGTTGTGCGTATGTTCATGTATGTATTACCTATTGTACTCAGTATTTATTGAGTCTTCCAATGCTTTGGGGAGTGGAGCTGTCAACATGTGTAAAATGAAGATTCTGCCCAGGGAAAGACAGAAAACACATCATTAAAGCTGTGTCCTCTGTGACCCACTAGCCATGGAAGCAATGATGCAGGAGTGGCTCATTTTATTCAGGAGTTGGAGTACCCTTCTCAGATAAGTTAGCAAGGAGCCCTTTCGAAGATAAGTATATCTTTTAGAAAAAGTGGGTAGGACATCTGGCAGAGACAGGGAGCATGTGAAAATGAAGTAAGAGGTGAGGGAAGAGTTAATTGGCAAGTGTGGCAAGGTGCTTCATATGTAGGTAGAATAGAATCTGTCAGTGATGCTGGGGCTGAAAGATGGATTGAAGCCATCATAAGGGTGTGCTTTTTACTGTAAGTAGTTGGAGTCACTTTTGATTTTAAACAGGAGAGTGAACATCAGATCTAGATTTTAGAAAGCCCTTTCTGGCTGTAGTGTGGAAGATGGATTGAAAGCAGCAGTGGAGGTAGAATAACAAGTTAGGATACTGTTATAAACAATCCTGGTAAGAATTGGTAAAGATTTCAATGAACAAAAGGACTGGTTATGAGAGTATAAAATTGGAGAAGATATTAATTTTTTTTTTCAAACTATACAATTCGATGTATGTTAGTATGTTTATAAAATTGTCTCACAATCAGTTTTAGGTTGTTTTTATTACCCCTGAAATAAACTCTATAACCATTAGTAGTCACTTCCAATTGCCACCCTCCCAATGTCTGGCAAGCATTAATCTACATTTTTCTCTATGGATTTGCCTGTTCTGAACATTTCACATAAATCAAAATATAATGTTTATTGCAGATTGGATCAGAGGTAAACATTTTACCCAAAGTCATTCAGTCAGTATAGGCTATCCAAAAGTCTGTGAAGTTGCCTAGTGTGAAAACTCTGGCCATATGGACACACGGGGACTCACCAATCTGTATGCTTTCTCAATAAGCCAATCAGATTTTCTCTGAAGGAGTATAATAATCTTGAGAAATATACAGAGAAAGATGGTTAATTAGTTGTGCTTGGAACAAGGGAAACAAAATTATGTGGTCAACCATCGTGACAATGAAGCCCTAGAGCAGGCATCACCAGATATGATCATCTTGATACAGAATTTTTCCACACTTTATGAAGCCTGGCTGTGGGAAAGAAAGCCTTGCCTTCTTGTGTGATCTTATGTATCTTAGAATGAACTCTCATGTCTCTAGGCATCTTTTCCCAAACTTTATTCATTTTTATACTACCTCTGAAGTAGGCTTCTGAATAGAGTCTTTCAAATGTTAACTATTTTCTTTTGAAGGGTGTATCATGATTAGGGTACTTATATTAATTTACCATATCTAAAGTGAATATATATTTATATATTAGAAAATATATGTTTTATATATATACACTAGTTAAACCCATATACATAACATATTCTTTGACATGGTTCAGATATTTTGCACCCTTTAAATCTCATATTGAAATGTGACCTCAAATGCTGGAGATGGGTCTAGTGGGAGGTGTTTGGGTCATAGAAATGGATCTCTCATGAATGACTTGGTGCTGTACTCATAGTGGGAATGAGTGAGTTCTCACTCTATGAATTCATATGAGATCCAGTTGTTTAAAAGAGCCTGGCATCTATATCCTCTCTCTCTCTCTCTCTCTCTCTCTCTCTCTCTCTCTCTCTCTCTCTCTCTCTCTCTCTCTCTCTCTCTCTCTCTCTCTCTCTCTCTCTCTCTCCCTCCCTCTCTCTCTCTCTCTCTCTGCCTCCCTCTTGCCATGTGATACACCGGCCGTCTCCTTCACCTTCTTCCATGATTGTAAGCTCCCTGAGACTTACCACAAGTTGAGCACATTCTGGTGCTGAGGTAAGAGACTAGCAGGACTTGTTTTTTACTCACAACTCTGCTGACCAAAACAGGATCTAGTCCAGACAAAATAAAGTAAAGAAACTCAGTAGAAACCAGAATATGGCAACAAAAGTAATCCCTACCTCCCCTCATTGATCACTGCCATACGATGTTCCCAACAGCACCATGACAGTTTACAAATGTCATGACAATGACTTGGAAGCTACCACTGCTTTCCATGGCAATGACCCAAAAATTATTGCCTTTTTCTTCACAGTTCTAAATAACCTACCCCTCAATTTCCATTGACGTGCCTCTTCATTTGCATGTAATTGAAAGTGGGTTTACCAAGAGCCTCTACAGTTGCCAAGAGCTCATAAATTGGCTCTGGGCACACTACCTGTGAGTTAGCTGACCATAAAGAGCAGTACTGTTCAATAAAAGATTACTGTCTAACACTACCAGCTCTCACTTGAAATTTTTCCCAGCTAAAGCCAAGAACCCTCCCAGGCTAGCCCCAATGCTGGGGCTTGCCTGTCCTGCAACATTTGGTGACTACAAAGGAATGAAGATAGCATATGAAAGGCCATAACTGATGTGGTAGTGAGACAGCAAAATGGTCTTGATCCGCAAAGAGGCAAGACAATGAGAGACAGTGAGAAACAGTCAGATGGCAATCAGCGGTCTGTGGGATGGCAAGACAGCAAGAGGTGGTGATTGGTGAGATGGCGAGATGGAGAGATGGCAAGAGGTGGCAATTGGTGAGAGATGGTGAGAAGGTGATTAGTGCTACCAAGCTGTAACATTAGTCAAAGTCTCTTTCAAGAGCCGTCATCTGTTCTGGCAGAGTTGAGGGGAAGGGCATGTGGCCATAGTACCATCACCTCATGTGAGATCTGTCAATCCAGCCAGTAGGCTATCAGGTCACTGGTCCCTACATTGTAGTGAAGCCCACCTGGGCTGAGGGAACCTAGAGAGACCTTCACCCAGGTCCCACACAAAGATTCATTGGCATCATTTTGGCTCCTGTGGATGGGTGAATGTCCCTCCATCCCCTGCTCCCAATATTGGGTGAGCTAGGGAATAAAACTTCTGGCTAGGTGGTCAGTTTAAATTCTTACATCATTTGGGTAACCTGAAGCCTGTCCTTGTCACCCCTTCTCCTGGTCCTTTTTCTTGGACTTCATTTTATTGCTCCAGCACCCATTTTATTTTCAGTTCTAAAATGTATGTTTTGTTTGCAGTTCTGTTTTTCTTATTTGACTTTCTGTTAACTGTATTTGGGCAATTGTTTAAGGCAGGACACATGTTTGTGAAAGGCCCTTGTTATGTTGACTCTGAGATGCCAGAGTCATGTTGTTATATGGACCTAACCAGGCCTTTGGAGTTCACTATTGGCTGCCCCTCAGATGCTCCAGCATTTTGGCATTTGGTGTGGGGATCCTCCTTGGCTGATAGTTGAGCACTGTAGGTTTTTTGGCATTTGTTATTTTTGGCTGCCACTTGGGTGCTACCAGGTTTTTGGCACTGACATTTCCTCCAGAGCTGTGGGTTCTGGAGAACTGTGGGCCCACCCTAGGGTAATCTTAGTCTTGCCTTTTCTTGTTTTCTGCCCTAAAGTTATTCTCTGTAACAGATTTTTTTTTCTCATTGTTACTTTATTTACACTTTTCCTTCTATGCTTTAATAAAAATACTTCTTTTGTCCTATTTCATTCACTGGCAAACACTTATAATCCACTTTTGTAATGACTTGCTACCTATACTTACACCTTCTCTGTAGGAAATGAGAATCTAAAAGGGAAAAATTGCAAAGGCCCATTTGCTGTCTCTCTTGCTATACTTAGAAAAACTTCTGTGTCCAGTAAAAATCCTTGTCAGACATGGGGACAATGACTGGCATACCACAGGACTCACCATTAGGATATCCATCAGGCTACTGAAGCACATTCGAATTTGACTAAAGAAAAAGAAACTTATTTTCTATTGCAACACTGTTTGGATTCAATACAAATTAGAAAACTAAGAGATTTGGCCTAAAGACGCTTCTATTAATTATAACGCTATTTTACAATTATACTTATTCTGTGAAAAGGAAGGGAAATGAGAAGAGGACCCTTGTGTTCAGGCTTTTATGACCCTTTACTGGTTCATGGTACCTCTAGGAAACCATTCCTAAGGAATCTTCTCCTAGCTGCTCCCCCTAGAAGGCTAACACCCTCTCCAGAGTCTCTTTATAGTCCCCCAGTTCTGAGGTGGGTCCCACCCACAACCTAATGAAGGATTCCACCTCAAGATCATCAGGCACCAATCCCACTTATCCAACAAGCCACAGCCTATACCTTCTACTGACCAAGAAAGTAAGCCAAACCAGTACCACGAAGAATGGGGTTTCATATCAACCCTTAAAATCAAATCTGTGTCCATTGCGGGCGGTAGCTGATGAAAATGAGGTAAATCTTAGAGTTCATGTGCCGTTTTTTATGTGTGATTTGACTTTGTACGGGGAAAAATATGGCCAGTTTTCAGAGAAACCAGAAAAGTTCATAGAGAGGTTTTTTAAGTTGATCATGTTCTTTAACTTTTCATGACTTGCAAGTATTGTCAACTGCTTGCTGTGCCATGGCATAAAAAAACAGGAAAAAGTATGTGGCGAAGCCAGTCAATTGTAGCAAGGTTAGAGAAATACCTTAGGAAGAAGACAAGAATCCCACTCAGTTTCAGGGTCATTTGGTTGAGGCACTCAGGAAATATATTAATGCAGACCCAGACTCCCTAGAAGGGCACTCTCTTCTGGAAATTATTTTATTACTCAATCTGCCCCTGACATGAGGAGGAAGCTACAAAAAGCAGCATTGAAACCTCAGACTCCTATGAGCCAGCTCTTAAATGTAGCCTATAAAGTTTACACTAGGGACACTGCAAAGACGTGAAAAACAAAGCCAAAAGAAACAGCCAGAAAGTACAATTACTAATGGCTGCTTTAAGCCCCCTGCCACCTCAGGGTTGCCCAACAAGAGAGAGTGTCACAAGATCAGCATCTGGGATGTCAAGATGAGAGCCCCTGACATGCCAGCCTCTGCCCCTTATTCAATCTGCCCCTGACATGAGAAGGAAGGTATTTATTTGTTAAATTATCAGAAATGTTTCTTGTAATGTCATAAATAGTTTCTTTTGAAACTTCTTGGATTTGTATCTCAGAGATTTAACTGTTGTTGTGTCTTGCTGCTTTCATCTATTTTTCTCTATAAGAAGGATTATGATGATGTGTCTATCCTTTAGCTCTTTTTTTTTTGTCAGCTCCTGTGAGTTTTTCTCCTCCAACTCTATTATTGTAGCCTGATGCTAAAGCATTTTGTCTTAGACGTCTATGAGAGACATATTTTCCCCGATATATCTTGAGTCTATGGTTTTGGTTTTTCTTGATGTGTAACCTTATTTTTGGCTTTTACATTTTGACTCTCACATTGCTTTAAATAATTTAAAGGACTAATGATACCTGCCCACCTTCATTCTCATCTGGCCTAGAATGTTTAATTGGCCAAAGGGAATGTCAAAGACACCTAAAAAAAAAACTAACTCTGGTCGTGACAGGAAACCAGGGGTCAGACACACCTCACCATGCTCCCCCTTGAAATCTAAGCCAGATTTAAATGCCTTTCAAAAAATCATGAAATCAAAGTATTGCCCTTACCCACAAATGAAAATATAGCTCCCCTCTTCAGTTAGAAGACTTAGTCTTCATAAAATCTTTAAAAAAAGATCACCTGATGATTAATTACAACCAAAATAAAATGGCCCTTATCAGGTATTGTTAAGTACCCCTACTGCTGTTAAACTTCAGGTCATCACTAATTGGGTACAACTGTCCAGAGTTAAACTGTTTCTTATGAGTCCCTACAGGGATAAAAGAAGGACACCACAACCTGCATTTGAAAACCCTAGAAAACTTAAGTTTGTTGTTTTACAAATACATAGTTAAATAATTGATGCTGTGGGTGGACATAGTAGCATCAATTCTTCTCTTCTGCCTAATTGCAATTTACTTGTTTAACTTCCTAGTAAATTTTATATCTTCTAGATTCCACATAAAGATGATGCTAGCACAAAGCTTCCAATCCATCCTGTCTGCTGACATGGAAAATGAAAACATCCTACTGTTGGTCCCTTAGATCAGATATCTAGAGATTCACACACCTCCAATGCTAGGCAGGGCCTACACCCATAAAATTGACAAGAAGCTGTTACGGAAGATGGACCACCACCCTTTTTCAGCTCCTGTAATATTAAGGAGAAATATCTTACCTCCAAGTGGGAGATGAGGTAGGAGACCATAAGGACTTTTTTCTAGTCACAACCCTGCTGACCAAAACGGGATCTGGTCCAGACAGGATAAAGTGAAGAAACCATCAGGAACCAGCAAATGGTGATGAAAGCAATCCCTAGGTACTCTCATTGTTCACTGACATAAGACGCTCCCATTAGCACCATGACAGTTTGCAGTTGCTATGGTAAGAGCCAGAACTTACTGCCCCTTTTCTAGAAAAAATTTCGAAATGACCCACCTCTCAATTTGCATTGACATACCCCTTAATGTGCATGCAATTTAAATTGGGTTTACCAAGAGCCAATACAGTTGCCAAGAGCCCATATGTTCCTGACTCTGGGCGTATTGCCTATGAATTAGCCCTGCTTCTCAAGGAGCAGTGCCATTCAATAAAAGATTGTTGTCTGACACTATTGGCTTGCCCTTGAATTCTTTCCTAGGCAAAACCAAGAACCCTCCTTGGCTAAGCTGCAAAGTTGGGGCTCATCTGTTCTGCATCAGTGCCATGCCTGTAAAGCCTGCAGAACAGTGAGTCAAACGAATCTGTTTTATTTATAAATTACCCAGTCTAAGGTATTCCTTTACAGCAATGCAAATGGACTAATACATTCTCTATGATAAAGTATTTCAAATAAATGAAACAATGGCCAAGTGTGGTCTCTTCCCTGAGTAGCCCTTGTTCTGGGACTAAGTAGCAGGTGAGGTCTCTGCTCAGGGATCACTGCTTGGACAGATGATCTGAGATACAAGGATTAAGCATTAGGTGTTCTATTCAAGGCACATTCTGCTCAGCAAGTTGTATAATGCCTTTCAGTGGCAAAACAGAACCAACAAATATCCTTCCTTTCTTTCTGCATCTCCTTTACCTGTTAATTCTTAGTTGTATTGAAAGTTGCATTACAAGACTCCTCCTTATAGGACATTTTTGCCGTCCTCCAATTTGTCCCCATAGCATTGTCCAGCCTGCTTTTTAAAATCTTTAGTTTTCTCTGTAAAGATAATTGATACAGTGTATTGAATGTTTATTATTTTGTAGATACTGGCACTGTGATAAGCATTTTACATCTGCTCCAGAATAGTCCGCTAGAAATAAGAAAGTACTCTGCATAATTCAAAGAGCATAGGACTTAACACCAGAGACACTCCTAGAGGGGATAATCAAAGGGCCAAAAGAAATCCTCTATCTATCTATCCATTTATATTTTTCTGCTCACCTATTACTTGACACCAAATTCATATGCTATTCATTTACTGGTGTGTTGAGGGAGTTCAAACACAGAATTGGTCATTTGATTGATCAATCTAAACTCTGTGACTTGCCCAAGCTTACCTCCTACTCTAATATCCAGCTCTTTGAAAAGGTTCAATGCCCAGTAATTGGAATAGCGTATGTCAGGTCTTATCAATCCATCACCAGCGTAATTAGGAAACAATTGTCAAACTTTAACACATAAGCTCTTAGGCAGGAGACCAATTACCTTGTCTAGGGACAGAGGAGAAAGTGGTTATATCAATACCCTTGTCCAAGGAGAATATGTGGTTACAACATATTCTTCCACAAGAATGGGGTTTATTTCTTAAGAACTCATCTACTACTCCTTGGCATAACAAAATATAACATTGTAATTTAATATGTTTACGCAATTTTACTGGCATAGAAATCAAAACTGTCTTTCTTAAAACAATATGTATAATACTTTATGATTCCTAACTATTATTATTTCTTCATCCCACAAAGCAACAGAGTCACAATAATAAGATTTGGGATTTCTGGAATGCCTACATTGTCACTTAATCTTCACAATAGCCTTACAAGATATTATTATTAAACTATATTTTATAATTGAAGAAATTGAAGCTTAGAGAGATTAAATCACTTACTCAAAGTCATACAGTTAGTAAACTGCGGAGGTAAAGTTCAAACCAGTCTACCAACTCTGATGGTCATAATGCTACACTAAGCTGCCTTTCTCTTCTGTAGATTTTGTCCCTGAATTTACCAAGAATCCTAATTTCAGGTGTAAGAACAGCCTCAACTCTTCTCCTTCTGTAAAGCATGGGGCAGTAATTTTTTGTTTGTTTGTTTGTAAAGAGTTATATAGAAAATACTTCAGGCTTTGTACGCCTTATGATGTCTGTCTTAATTAACTCAACTTTGCAGTTATAGTGCAAAGGCAACCATGGACAACACATCAACAAATGTGTGTCTGTGTTCCAATAAAACTTGGTTTACAAAGACAAGTGATCAGGGAATTTAGCCTGTGGGCTTCTTTTTTTAAACAAGTAATCCCCATTTATTTCATAAAATCATTTGAATTGATGTAACTATTTTCTTAAAAATATAACTCATAGTTAGTGAAATTTTCTCAGGCCATATCATAATATTTAGTCTCTATATACCATTTAGACAAGGTAGTTACATACTATAATGAAAATATAATTAGGTTTGGAGCCAAAAGATCTGAATTTGATTTCTGATTTTATCAGTTATGAGCTAAAGTTACTTTGTAAAAGTTACTTGGCTTCCCTTGTGAGCATTTTCCCTTTTTCCCTTCAGTGACACCTCTGCTTTTTACCCAATTTTGCCTTGGGAAACCTACTTCTATGAACTTCTTGAGCTTCCTTGCCTTATGGCTGTCAGTTGGATTTGACCAGAAGGGTTAACCCACAAGAGATATATAGTGAAAGAAGTGAATGAGGTTGGTTCTCACCCTGCAGGATCACCAAGTGCTGACTAATTCCCTTACCAGAGCATCATTGCTCCTGTAAAGACAGTCTTCTTTTTATCTAAGTTTGTTTCTCCAGGTTCTAGTAACCATTAATCCCTAGGGGTGTGCTCTAACCTTTGTGGTTTCTCTACACCTGTCCATTCCTTTTAAGCAGTCCTGTTACTAAACTCTTATCGAATTACCCATTTTGGGCATCATCTATTTCTATCAGGCCCAGAATAATTAATTTCTTCACACCTTAATTCTGCCTTTATAAAATGGGATCAAAATATGCAATCTGCCTACTGTGAAGAGTTGCTTATTCATCTAATACTTTATTCAGCAAACATTCAGTGCTATTATGTTCCAGGCAGTGTATTAGGTAATGGTATTACAAAGATGACCAAGATGTGGTCTCACCCCCAAGAAACTTCCAAAGAACTGGAAAGACAAACCCAAAATAACTGACTATTATGTATTATGATAATGCTACTATCAAAGAAGGAAAGAAGCAACACAAGAGAGAGAGCTGTTATATGAGGAGAGAAGAAAAAGAGTCAGAGAAGGATCCAAAAAGGGCATAATTATGAAGTCTGGCTTTGAAGGGTAAACAGTCACTTATTAATCAAAACAGAATTAGTAATGCAGAGATCTTTTCGACAAAGTGAAATTTTACCTTATCTCACTTCATCCTACTCCTTATTTTCTGATCGATCTCTGAATCCTTCACCAGGTCATTTTCCTTCTTTTCTTGTAGTAGCAGTGGCTGTTCAGGATGATTTTATCTCCCTCCTTTTTTTATTTTGTTACACACCTCTTGGAGCTCCATTCACTTTTATATTTCATCCCTTTCAAAGCAGATGACATCAATCCTCATAACTTTACTTTTTTTTTAATTCTAGCCCCAGATTTCCAATGCAACACTATCCACACAAAATTCTTTTCTCCTCGTTCAACCACAGGGTAGCTTTGTCTCCCAATTTCCCTATTACTGGTAACTGTTTGACCCTATATTCCAATGTCTAGGCTTCAGGACTTGCATTAAGCCTTATTGTCACACACATTATTACTCCCCCCATCCAATTCATTGCCGTATACTTCCTCTGCACCTTCCTCTTCGATAGTCACTATTCATTTATTTATTCATTTAATATTCTTATTCAATATCTATTGGGTGAACATTTATTGAATACTTACTATTATCCAGGCACAATTCTAGGATATGGGGATATAGCAGTAAATGAGAGAGAAAAAGATCCTTCTGTCTTAGTTCATTTGTGATGCCATAACAGAATATCAAAACTGGGTAATTCATAAATAATAGAAGTTCATTTCTCACAGTTTTGGAGGCAGGGAAGTTCAAAATCTAAGCATCGGTGTGTTCAGTGTTTGGCGAGGGCCCTGTTCTCTGCTTCCAAGATAGTGCCTCTTTGCTCATTCTGTGACCTTTTCCTTGTATGGCAGAAGGCAGAAGAGCAAAAAAGCTTGAGCTAGTTCCCTCTGGCCCTTTTAGAAGGCATTAGTCCATTCATGACGGCAGAGCCCTCATGACTTAATCACTTCTCAAAAGAACCATCTCTTAATGCTACCAAAATGAAGATTAAGTTTCAACATGAATTTTGAAAGGGACACATTCAAACCATGGCACCAAGCTTAGAATTTATATTATCATCGGGAGAAATAAACAATAAATGTTTTGCCACATTTAATTGAATATTTAATTAAATCTAAAATGCCAGTGATTTTTAAATACATAATTATTTCAAGTATCACCATAAAGCATGCTACCAGTTAAAATAAGACTCCATCCATTGTGAGTCATTTTCATTTCAGAGATGTTAAAATGTTCTATAAATATAAATTTCTGTGTCTTTGAATCAAGGAAATTCAAAAATATATAATGCACATATTATTATGTATGTAATATATGTTATCTCAGATTCGGGGAAATATTAAGAAAAGTAAGTTGGGAAAAAGTATAAAGAGAGCTTAGGATGAGGGGTGCAATTTTAAATAGGGTATTCAAGAAAGGCTTTATTGTAACGATAATATTTTAATAAACACTGAAGGAAGTGAGGGAGCGAGCCTTGCATCTATCTAGAAGAATAGCTAGACCAACCCAGAGAATAGTAATTACAAAAGCTTTGAAGTAGGAGCGTATCTATTCGTGCTTAAGGAACAGTGAAGTGACCAATATTACTAAAGGAGATTAAACTAGAGGAAGAGTAGAAAGAGATGTCAGGAGAACTAGAAGACCAAATTATCTAGGGTCCTTTAGGCTATTGTAGGACCCTAGATTTTATGAGAAAGAAAGCCATTGGAGGCTTTTGCACAGAAAAGTTAAATAATCTGATTTATGTCTTAAAAGGATGACTGTGTTTATAAATGGAGGGAAAACTGGAGAGGATAAGGAAAGAAGCAGAAGATCAGTTAGAGAGCAATTGCAAAAATTAGGAGAGTGATGCTGGAATCTTAGATCTGGATGCCTTCAATGAAGTTATTGAGAAGTGAGACTGAATAAATGTTAAAGATGGAGCTTGCAGGATTTTCTGATGAATGGAGATGTGGGATTGAGAGATAAAGGTCAAAGATGACTCCTATGTTTTGGATCAGAGCAACTGGAATAGTCGTGTTGCTCTTTCTTGAGATGGGATAGATTGCGGGAGATGCATATTTGAGAGAGAAGATTAGGCGTTTGTTTTAGCTATGTTAAATTTGAGGTTCCTATTAGATATCTGGGTGGTTTTGTCTCCTGACAGTGTTTACTTCCCAATGCCTCTGCCACAGGAGGCATCCAGGCTGACATTTTCTGCTCAGACTCCTAAAATTGATCTCCTTCCTTTTTGGCTTTGCATGTCCTGAATCATCCTACAAATATTTTTTTTTCTTTCTAATATATTAAGATGATTAACATTTTTGCTCAAAATTTCAGTATCTTCTCATTGCTTATTTAATTTAGTAGACTCTCCTTAGCTTGAGCATTGATTGGTCTAAACTATTATGAACATTGGCAAATATATAGATATGTAACTACCAAAACAATTCTATTATTGATCATTTTCATCACCCCAGAAAGCTTGCTCTTGTGTCAATTTCCATCTCTCATCCCAATCCCTGGCAACTACCGATCTGATTTTTGTCTTAGAAATTAATTTTGAGCCTTTTTCGGATGCAACGTAAATGAAATCATAGCATATCTAGGTTTCTGTGTTTGGAATTTTTCACTTAGCATAAGGCCTTTCTGATATATCCTTTTTGTTACATGTATTAGTAGTTCATTCTGCTCTATTGCCAAGTAGTAAGGTATACTGCAACTTTTTTTATCCCTTCACCAGTTGAAGGATATTGGGCTTTTCCAGATTTTGGTTTTTATGAACAAAGCTGCTACAGAGGGTTGAATGTGGCGTTCCAAAAGGTATGTCCACCTGGAACTTCAGAATGTGACCTTAATTGGAAAAAGGGTCTTTGCAGATATAATTAAGGTAAGACTCTTGAAACAAGACCATCTTGAATTAGGGCGGGTTGTGAGTCAATGATGGATGTCCTTCTATGAAATACAGAAGGAGCAAACACACAGCGACACAGAGGGGAGAAGGCTATGTAAAGATGGATGCAGAGATTCAATAATGTGTCACAAGCCAAGGAATGCTAACTAAGGATTACCAATAGCCACCAGAAGCTAGCAGATAGGAATAGAATGGATTCTTCCTTAGAGCTTCCAGGAGGAGCCAACCCTGTCAGCACCTTAACATCCATAACTTCTGGCATCTATAACTATGAGACAAAAAATTTCTGTTGTTTTAAGTTGTCAGGTTTGGAGTATGTGTTATGTCAGCTGTAGAAAACTAACACAGCTTCTATAAACATTAATATACAGGTCTTTGTGTGGACATACATTTTTATTTCTCTTGTGTAAATACTTAGAGTGGGATTGCTGGGTAGTATAACAAAGCTATGTTTCAATTTCTAAGAAACTTCCAAACTTTTTCCATAGTGATTATACTACTTTTCATTTCAACCAACAATATATGACTGTTTCAATTGTTTTGCACATTTGTCATCATTTGATATTGTAAATTTTGTGTCTTTTATTTTGTTTTAGCCATTGTAGTTAATGTGTAGTGGTGTTATTTTCTGTTTTTCTAATGATTAATTATGAGAATCTTTAAATGAGTATTTTTTATATAGTGTCTTAAAATATTTTGTCCAACTTTTATTTGTTTGTTTGTTTCCTATTGAGTTGTAAGTATGTTGGCAGGTAGGGTTTAAGATGGCTTTGTTATCTTTCTTTCATTATTATTTTATTTTCTTCTTTCTTTTCTTTCTCTTCCTCCCTCCCTCCCTCCCTCCCTCCTTCCTTCCTTCCTTCCTTCCATGCTAAATTGCTCATCAAACCACCAAATGCTGCCTTGATGGAAAAATGATTCTCCATTAAGTTATTTTATTAATTAACCACACTTGGGTATCAGGGGCGAGGTGCTAAGTTTTTGGACTTCGTCTTGTGTTCACTTGATGTAAAAATCTATCTGTACACAAACATACTACTGTGATGTTTATTGCAACTTCAAATTGAGTCTTAAAATCAGTTTACGTGGGTTTTCCAACTTTTTTTTTAATTGTTTGGAGTATTCTGGATCCTTCTTTTTTCTATTTAAATGTTAGAATCTGTTTGTCACTTTCTCAAAGAATGTGCTACAATTTTGATTCGGCTTGCATCAGATCCATAGATCAGTTGGAGAAGAACTCATACCCTAACAATGTTGAGTAGTCCAATTAATACATACAGTATATATATCACCTTTTATTTGGATCTTTTAAACACTTTTTTCATCAATATTTTTCTTCATGTAGTAGTTTAGAGCCTTATGAATGTTGCATATTTATTATTGGATTTATCTTTACTTTTTACATCGTTGTAATATTTTAAAAGTTAAATTTCTAATTGTGTGTAGCTAGCGAATGAATAATTTTTTTGTTTTGTTTTGTTTTTATATATTGACCTTGTATCCTGAAACACTGAGAAGCTCACTCTTTACTTGTAGAAGCTTTTGATAGATTCCTTGGGATTTTTTCTATGTATGGAAATGCCATCAGCTGATACAGACAGTTTTATTTCTCCATTTCCTATCTATATATCTTTATTTTTGTTTTTTTATTTATTGAACTGTCTAGTATCTCATGTAAAATGTTAATTAGAAATAATGATAGTATATATTCCTATCTTGTTCTCAGTCTTAGGGAAAAAGTATTTGCTTTGTTTCCATTAAATATAATATTAGGTAAAGGTTTTTGTTAGATGCCTGCCATCAGATTTAGGAATAACCCATTATTCCTAGTGTATTAAGAGTTTTTATCTTAAATGAGAATTCAATTCTTTCAAATGATTTTTGTGCATCTACCGAGATTACTATATTTTTTTTCTTTTTTATGATGTTTATGTGGTGAATTACTTAGATTGATTTGCACATGTTGAACTAGCTTTGCATTCCTGGGATAAACTCCATTTGCTAATGATGTATTACATTTTTTATATTACTAGGTTTGGTTTGTACATATTTTCTTAATATTATTGCATCTATTTCCATGAGCAATGTCAGTAGATAGTTTTCTTTTCTTGTAATAGTTTTGATATCAGGGAAATGATGGTTTCATAATATCAGGTGACCAGTATTCCATCTTCTTCAAATTCTTAGAAGAGTTTGTGTACAATTGGTACTAAAATTTTGGTGTAATTTGCTAGTAAGTTTGTTTGGGCTAGAAGAGTTCCTTATGGGTAGATTTTTACTTAAAATTGGAGTTCTTAAATAATATAGAACTATTGAGAATATCATTTTCCTTACACGAGCTATGATACTTTGTGTGATTCAAGCAATCTGTCCATTTCATCTAGCTATCATCTTTTTGACATTTTTGAATAATAATTGCTTATTATTCTGATAATGTCTGTTGGACTTATAATGCTGTTTCCTCCTTTGGTTCAGATATTACTGTTTTGTTTCTTCTCTCTTCCAGTTTAACCAGAGATTTATCTATTTTATTGATATTTTCAAAGAAGTTTTGGTCTCATTTGTTTTCTCTATTGTTTTTTAGTTGACTATTTCATTGAATTTTTATCTTGATTAATTCTTCCCATTGGCCCACTTTAGGTTTCGTTTGCTCTATTTTTTTCCTACTTTCTAAGTTTTTTAATTGATACATAATAGATGTACATATTTTCAGGGTACATGTGATAATTTAACATGTTCATATAAAATGGAAAGATAAAATCAATGTAACTATGAAATTCATTACCTTAAATATTTATCTTTTCTTTATGCTAGAAGTATTTTATTTATTTCCTTCTGGCTATTTTAAAATATACAATAGATCCTTGTAAATTATAGTTGCCCTACTGCTATATCAAACACGAAGTCTTATTTCTTCTATCAAATTTGTATATTTGTACTGATTGCAATCTCTCTTCATAACTGTCTTCCCCCTACTTTTCCCCACCTCTGATGATCACCAGTCTACTCTCTATCTTAATGGGATCCACTTTTTAAGCTCCCAAATATGAGTGAGAACATACAGCATCTGTCTTTCTGTACTTGGCTTTATTTCACTTAACATAATGACCTCCAGTTCCACCCAGGTTGCTGCAAATGATAAGATTTTCTTCTGTTTTATGGCCTAATAATATTCCACTGTACACACACACACACACACATATATACACACATATATACATATACATGATATTTTCTTTATCCTTTTATCCCTTGATGGGCAATTAGGTTGATTTCATATTTTGGCTATTCTGAATGGTGATTCATATTGTAAAATAAGATATTGTGATAAATATGGGAGTACAGCTATATCTTCAATAGATTGAATTTCTTTCTTTTGGATATATAACCAGTAGTGGAACTGATGGATCATATGGTAATTTTATTTTTAGTTTTCTGAGGAACCTCCACACAGTTTTCCGTTAGTTGCTGTACTAATTTACATCCCCACCAACGATGTATGAGGGTTCCTTTTTCTCTACATCCTTGCAAGCATCTTTATCTCATCTTTTTGATAAAAGCCATTTTAACTGGAGTGAATTGTCTCATTGTGGTTTTGTTTTACATTTTTCTGATTAGTGATGTTGAGGATTTTTTAATATACCTGTTGACTATTTGCAGGTCTTCTTTTGAGTAATGTATATTCATATCTTTTGCCAATTTTAAAAATTGGATGATGATGATGATGATGAATTTGCTATTGAGTTGTTTGAGCTCAACAACTCAATATTCTCTATATTCTGGTTATTAACTCCTTGGCAGATGGATAGTTGCAAATATCTTCCCCCATTCAGTGGGTTATCACCTCTCTTTGTTGATAGTTTCCTGTCAACAATGGATACAAAGCTATGCAAAAGCTTTTTCAGTTTGATGTAATCCCATTTTTCTATTTTTGCCTTGGTTGCCTATGCTTTTGAGACCTTACACAAAATATATTTGCCAATATCTATGTCCTGAAGTATTTTCCCAATATTTTCTTCTGGTAGTTTCATAATTTTTGGTCTTTAATCTATTTTTATTTGACTTTTGTATATAGGGAACAATACAAGTCTAGTTTCATTCTTCTGCATATCCAGTTTTCCTAGCACTGTTCATTGAAGATTCTGTCTTTTCCCTATTGCATGTTCTTGGCTCCCTTGTTGAAATGAGTTAGGTGTAAATGCATTGACTTATATCTGGGTTCTGCATTCTGTTCTATTTATCTAGGTGTCTGCATTTATGGCAGTACCATGCTGATTTGGTTATTTTAGCTTTGTAGTATATTCTGAAATCAGGTAGTGTGATTCCTCCAGCTTTGTTGTTTTTTTTAATCAGGATTGCTTTGGCTATTTGGGCTCTTTAGTAATTCCATATAAATTTTAGGATTTTTAGTATGTTTGTTCCTGTGAAGAATGTCATTGGTAATTTGAAAGGACCAGGATTGAATCTTTAAAGTGCATTTGGTCATATTGTCATTTTAATTATTAAATATTTGTTCTTCTAATCCATGAATATGTAATAACTTTCCATTTTTGTGTCCTCTTCAATTTCTCTCATTGTGTTTTATAGTTTTCTTTGTATAGATCTTTTGTTTCTTAGGTTAAATTGATTCCTAGATATTTTATATTCTTTTTCTTTTCTTGCTTGCTTTCTTTCTTTTCTTTTCTTTTCTTTTCTTTTCTTTTCTTTTCTTTTCTTTCTTTCTTTCTTTTTTTTTTTTTTTTTTTGATGGAGTCTCTCTCTGTTGCCCAGGCTGGAGTGCAGTGGTACAATCCTGGCTCACTGCAACCTCCGCTTTCCAGGTTCAAGTGATTTTCCTGCCTCAGCCTCCTGAGTAGCTGGGATTATAGGCTTGCACAACCACTCCCGGCTAAATTTTTTTTTTTTTTTGTATTTTAAGTAGAGATGGGGTTTCACCATGTTGGCCAGTCTTGAACTACTGATCTCAGGTGATCCACCCACCTCAGCCTCCCAAAATGCTGGGATTGCAGGCGTGAGCCACTGCACCCAGCCTATATTCTTTATAGCTATTATAAATAGAATTTATTTCTTGCTTTTAAAAATATTGTTTGCTGTTGGCATGCATGTATGTTGATTTTATATCCTGCAATGTTACAGAATTCATTTATCAGTTCTATCGGTTTTCTGATGGAGTCTTTAAGTTTTTCTAAGTTTAAGATCATGTCATCTGTGAACATAGCTAATTTGACTTCTTTTCCAATTTGGATGCCCTTTATTTATTTCTCTTGACTAGTTGCTCTGGCCAGGACTCCTAGTATTACACTGAATAACAATGGTGAAAGTAGGTATCTTTGTCTTGTTTCAGGTCTTAGAGGAAATGCCATTAAATTTTTTCCATTCGGTACAATATTAGCTGTAGGTTTGTTATGTATGGTCTTTATTATTTGAGGTATGTTTTTTTCTATGCCTGTTTGTTGTATGAATCCAGGAATTTATTCATTTCTTATAGGTTTTCTAATTTATTGGTATATAGTTGTTTGTAGTAGTCTTTAATGATGCTTTCTATTTTTGTGGTCAGATTCTTCTATCTCTTTTCTCATTTCTGATTTTATTTATTTGTATCTTTTCTCTCTTTTTTAGTCAGTCTGGAACAAAACTTTTCAGTTTTTTTGATCTTTTTATTTTATTTTATTATTTTCAATTTTAATATTTTTTCTCTGATATTTACTATTTCATTCCTTCTACTGTTTTTGAGTTTGGTTTATTCCCTTCTAGTTCCTTGAGGTACATCATTAGGTTGTTTGAAGTTTTTCTGCTTTTTTTTTTTTGTTTTCTTTTTTTTGAGACAAAATCTTGCTCTATCACTCAGGCTGGAGTACAACAGTGAAATCTTGGCTCACTGCAACCTCCGACTCCTGCGCTCAAGCCATCCTCCAACCTCAGCCTCCCGAGTAGCTGGTATTACAGGCATGCACCACCATGCCTGGCTAATTTTTGTATTCTTTGTAGAGCTGGGGTTTAACCATGTTGCCCAGGCTAGCCTTGAACCCCTCAGCTCAAGTGATCTGCCCAGCTTGACTTTCCAAAGTGTTATGATAACAGGCTTGAGCCACTGTGCCTGGCTGGAAGTTTTTCTATCTTTTTGATATAGGTGTTTATTGCTATAAATGTCCCTCTTAGTACTACGTTTGCTATATCCCAAAGACCTTGGTACGTTGTATTTCCATTTTCATTTGTTTCAGAAACTCTTACATTTTCTTCTTAATTTCTTCATTGATCATTCAGGAGCATGTTGTTTAATTTCCATGTTTTTGTATATCTTCTGAGGCTCCTCTTTTTTATTGATTTCTGATTTTATTCCATTGTTGTCAGAAAAGATACTTGATATGATTTCTACCTTTTAAAATTTGTTGAGACTTGTGTTGTGGCCTAAGATATTGTATTTTGTAGAATGTTCCATGTGCTTATGAAAAGAATGTGTATTTTGCAGGAGTGGAGTGAAATGTTCTATAAATGTCAGTTAGGTCTATTTGGTCTGGTGTGTAGTTTAACTCCAATGTTTCTTCGTTGATGTCCTGTCTGAATGAGCTGTCCATTGCTGAGAATGGTGTTGAAGTCTCCAGTTATTATTGTATTGGTGTCTAACTTTCTCTTTAATAATAATTAATTTGTATATTTGGGTGCTCCAGGGTTTAGTACATAGATATTTACAATTGGTATATCCTTTTTCTGAATTGACTCCTTTATCATTATATAGTGTCATTCTTTGTCTCTTCTTATAGTTTATGATTTGCAGTCTATTTTATTTGATATAAGTCTAGCTATTCCTGCTTATATTTGTTTTCTGGTTGCATGGAATACCTTTTCCACCTCTTTACTTTCAGTCTATATGAGTCTTTATAAGTGAAATGAGTTTCTTGTAGGCAGCTTATAATTGAGTCTTCTTAAAAATTCATTCAGCTATCCTGTGCCTTTTAATTGGAGAATTGAATCAATTTAGATTCACTGGTATTATTGATAAGTAAAACTTGTTACTGCCATTTCGTTGTTTGTTTTCTCATTGTTTTTAACTCTTCTCTCCCTTCCTTCCTTTCTTACTGTCATCCTTTGTGGTCAAGTGATTTTCTCTGGTAGTATGTTTTAATTTGTTGCTTTTTATTTTTAATAAATCTATTATAGGTATTTGCATTATGGTTACTATGAGGCTTACAAAAAGGATCTTACAGTTATAGCAAGTTATTTAAAGAGATGACAGCTTATTTTAGATCAGAAAGAAAAGAATATCAACAAAGAAATAATTTTAAAACTCTGTAACTCCATTTCCCCATATTTAGTCTTTATGTTGTCTTCATTTACATATTTTTATATTGCCTATACTTAACAAGCTGCTGTAGCTATTGTTGTTTCTGATACATTAGTCTTTTGGGTTTCACAGTAGAGTTATGGGTGTATTTCACATCACAGGTACAGTATTACAGTATTCTGGGTTTGTCCACTTATTTTAACATTGAGCTTTATAACTTCAGAATTTTATCTCCTTTTAGCACTTCCTTTTACCAATGGATTTTCATTATTTAAGCTTTGGAAACATTTCTGTTACTTTTTTAAAATAAGCTTTATATCTCTTGCTCAACTCTCTCTTAAACACCAGTAATTCTTAGATTTTTTTTTTTTTTAGGGAATTTTCTATATATTGTAGGCGATCTTCATTTCTTTTAAGTATGTTTTTTTTTCTCCTTTGACTGTGTATTGTCAAATAGTCTATTCAAGCTCACTGATTTTTCTCTCTGCTGTGTCCATTCTGCTGTCAAGACTCTCTAGTGAATTTTCCAGTTCAACAAATATATTCCTCAGTTCTAAAATTTCTGCTTGATTTTTTTAAAAATTATTCAATCTCTTCAATAAATTCTCTGATAAACTACTGAATTCCTTTTCTGTGTTATCTTGGAGATCACTGAGTTGTTTTTTTTTTTAACTACTATTTTGAATTTTTTGTCAGAAAGCTCACATATCACTGTCTTGTTAGGGTCAGTCATTGGTTCCTTTGTGCATTTGAGAAAATCACAATTTCTTGCTTGCTGTTGTTTCTTGTGGATGTATGTCTATGTCTTTTCATTGAAGGATTATTTATTCCAGTAATCTATGTCTGGCTTGTTTTGTTTTTTATTAGATACATTTGCTTAGAGGTTCTTCGTAATTTACCTGTTGATTTTCTCTCTCTTTCTTTTCTTTTTCCCTGCTAGGTCACTGTCTTCTTTTTGGTATTAGATGGCAACCTAAGCCAAGGTTTGCCTCAGTTCTAGTAAACAATCATAGTGCCTCCAGTTCCAAAAGAGGGGGGTTCCAAAGGGGATAACCCAGTAGTGTGGGAAGACTAGCTAGGAGTTTGTGCCCAGGGGAACTGTGGAACAAACTTCCTGTAGCATGGTTCTGTTGAACATCCACTTCGATGTCTCCTTTGGCTGAGTTACAGAGCAGAGTTTCCAGGGCTGCAGATGGATGTCCCCACTTTGTCTCTGGCCATGTTCAGGGATATATCTCTCTCCAGGCACTTTCAACACTTCTTATGGTGTGTTGAAAGGTATCTTGCCAAGAAACACAAGATGGTGGGGAAGTTGATTGTCCACCCTGACCTCACTTTTTGTAGTGTATAAACCAGGAGTCAAAGGGAGATTTTCTGTGTTTGGTGCCAAGCAGATTGGAGGTAGTGGTATCACAGATATACAAGCCCAATTCTCTTATTGTTCGCTCTGAGTTTTTTCAGTTTTTTATGGTCCCAGGAATTGTCTTTTCCTCAGACTTAAGTTCTGGGATGTTCCTGACTATAACCTTAGTGCTGTATTTTGAAGAGTGGGGAGGCAGTGAAGCCAGCTAGATTCTACACCAGCATTTTGGAACCAGAAGTCTTTTTTTTTTCTACTTTTTGAAAGTAGAAGCATACGTTACTGATTTAAATATTTTTTTCTTTGGTAATGTAAGTGTATACTGCTATAATTTTTCCTTTTAAGCCCTGCTTTCGCTCAGTCATAAATATTCAGTTTAAAATGTTTGTATTTTTCCTTGTGATTTATTTTTTATCCATAGTTTATTCAGTGGATTCTTATTGTTTAAATTCATGCAATCTGCTTGGGGCTCTCAGAGATTCTTGAAACTTTGGCTTGTCTTCCATTAATTTTGGAAATTCTCAGCCACTAAATTTTAAATATTTATTTTTTCTGTGCCATTTTCTCTCTCTTCTCCTTCTGTCATTTCAATTGCATGTGCATAAAACCATTGATAGTATCTCACAGTTCTGTGATGCTTTATTCTCCTTTCGTTTGTTTAGGTTTTTTTGTTCCTTTATTGTAGATCATTTTTCTCTTTGTTGTTTCAGATTAGAAAACTATCAACCTATCCTTAGGTGTGCTGATTGTTTCCTCGGCTGTGTCCAGTCTGCTGATGAACACAGTGAGGATCTGTTTCTCTTGGTATTGCGTTTATTATTTCTAGCAAATTCCACTTGACTCTTTCTACAAGCTTCCTCTTTCTTCAAAATTCCCCCATAGATTTTTTAACATATTATTTTGAAGTCACTGTCTGGTATTTCCAGCATATGAATCATTGCTGATTTCTGATTTTGGTAAGGTAGACTGTTTATCTCATGACAATGAGATTTGTTTCTTGCATTTTGGTGGGTTCTGCAATTTTTTACTGAATATTGGACATTGTGTATGTATGAAAGGTAGACTTGTAGGTAAATTGTACTTATGACTTACAATGGGCATGCCTCTCCTGTGAGGCTGTAATGTCAGAGGTTGAATGATTCTAGCCAGGAATTGAGCTGTTTTGTTGGTACCATTAGTCTCAATACACCAGAGCTTTCAAATCCTCCAGTGTGTGTTTAGTATGGGGCCTGGAGTATCAGAGGCTTGTTTCTGGTGTTCCTGAATTCATCCTCAGCTTTCATCAGTTGCTGCATTTGTGTATCATAAAGGGATTCTTTCTCCATGCCCTTGCCCCTATTACCAATCAATTGCTATTGTTTATTACTTGCCGCTTGGCTTGTCATGGATTTGATTGGTCATTATCAAGTCTCCTTATCCAGTGTCAGATTTAGGTAATTCTTGAGCCTCTGGGTGTGGGTGGGGTCTTTCTCTGAATTTATGCCCTCTTTATATGGCAGTAAAACATTGCCTTTAATTTGTGGTGTGTCTTAGGTGGCAGAGGGTTTCCTGATGCTCCTCTACTGAGAGCAGAACTCTGTTTTGCATTGGTGCAGCATTTGAAGCCCCAGAGAATTTCCTCCTTTTATTCCAGAGTTAGATAGCTATTGCTTCTGTCACTCTCCCAGAAACAGTAGATCTTGCTGGGCCTTGTGCATATGAGAGTTTTCCATTCCTCCACCGTACATCATAGGCAGGTGGATTTTGTTTCTGTTCCTTCCCAGAAGTGGTATATCTCTGCTTGCACACGTGTGTGTGTGTGTGTGTGTGTGTGTGTCCTCCCCCAGTGGATTAAAAGCTTTTATTTTCTATGAGAGAAGTGTCCTGGAAAGCAGGTAAGGTATCCTGCTCGTCCCACAGTGGCACTGATCAGAACCTGCATGCTTGCACCACCTAGTAGTGCTGTTGCTACTGTTTCCCTGACTCTGGTCTTTCTTTTGAGCATCTAGTTGAAGCTCATGATAAAGGGTTTTTGAGTATATATTTGTGAACTCCTTTTAAGTCTTAGGCTCCCAGTCATTTTAAACGTTCATATTAGCCCATGCTTGGCTTTTAAAAATTTAACATTTTAGCTGATGTTCTATTACCAAATATTATGGCAGCCATTTCCTTCTTTCATTTTCTATAAACAGTTCATGTGTCCTCTTTCTCCTTGAAGGAGCTTATCGCTCTTTGTAATTCAGTGTAGTTCTTGCTGTCTTGCAACCTCAGTTATCTGATGGGATCCAAATAAGTTACATTTTGTGGACTGCTTGTTGTTGCCTTGTAGTTTGGGTGGGAACAACATTGTCTTTCAGCATTCTTCATCCTTTGTGTAAGTGGAATTTTTTTTCACTATGCTTATTTTAATATTCTGATGTCTGGCAACCAGAGATATTAGAATAGCATTCTTGACCTAAGTTCTCTGAGCATTTTCTCTTTCTCACATGTGCATGAAATTAAAACGTAGGAAACATTTCCTGCCATGTTGAAGGCATTTATGTTTTTAATTCCTGGGGAAATTCTGAAAATGGTTTAGACTCATTCTGCTTCCTGATACTGTGTCTGGAACTGGTGGGTTCTTGGTCTCACTGACTTCAAGAATGAAGCCGCGGACCCTCGCGGTGAGTGTTAGAGTTCTTGAAGGTGGCGTGTCCGGAGTTTGTTCCTTCTGATGTTCAAACGTGTTCAGAGTTTCTTCCTTCTGGTGGGTTCGTGGTCTCGCTGACTTCAGGAGTGAAGCTGCAGACCTTCGCGGTGAGTATTACAGCTCTTAAGGCGGCCCGTCTGGAGTTGTTCACTCCTCCCGTCCAGAGTTGTTCATTCCTCCTAGTGGGTTTGTGGTCTCACTGGCCTCAGGAGTGAAGCTGCAGACCTTCGTGGTGAGTGTTACAGCTCATAAAGCAGTGTGGACCCAAAGAGTGAGCAGCAGCAAGATTTATTGCAAAGAGCAAAAGAACAAAGCTTCCACAGTGTGGAAGGGGACCCAGAGCAGGTTGCCTCTGCTGACTCGGACAGCCTGCTTTTATTCCCTTATCTGACCCCACCCACATCCTGCTAATTGGCCCATTTTACAGAGCACTGATTGGTCCGTTTTGACAGGGTGCTGATTGGTGCGTTTACAATCCCTGAGCTAGACACAGAGTGCTGATTGGTGTATTTACAATCCTCTAGCTAGAGGTATAAGTTCTCCAAGTAACCCACTAGATTAACTAGACACAGAGCACTGATGGGTGCGTTTACAAACCTTGAGCTAGACACAGGGTGCTGATTGGTGCATTTACAAACCTTGAGCTAGACACAGAGTGCTGATTGGTGTGTTTACAAACCTTGAGCTAGACACAGAGTGCTGATTGGTGTATTTACAATCTTTTAGCTAGACATAAAAGTTCTCCAAGTCCCCACCAGATTAGCTAGATACAGAGTGCTGATTGGTGCATCCATGAACCCTGAGCTAGACACAGAGTGCTGATTGGTGCATATACGATCCTCCGGCTAGACATAAAAGTTCTCCAAATCCCCACCCCACTCAGGAGCCCAGCTGGCTTCACCTAGTGGATCCCGCACCAGGGCCGTGGTTGGAGCTGCCCGCCAGTCATGTGCCATGTGCCTGCACTCCTCAGCCCTTGGGTGGTGATGCAATTGGGCACCACTGAGCAGGGGTTGGTGCCCGTCGGGGAGGCTTGGGCCACGTGGGAGCCCACCCTGGGGGGCCCTCCGGCATGGCGGGCTGCAGGTCCTGAGCCCTGCCCCCGTGGGGAGGTGGCTGAGGCCCAGCAAGAATTCGAGCACAGCACGGGTGGGCTGGCAGTGCTGGGGGACCCGGCACCCCCTCCGCACCTCCTGGCCCGGGTGCTAAGCCCCTCACTTCCCCAGAGCCAGCGGTGCTGGCAGGCCATTCCAAGTGTGGGCCCACTGAGCTCATGCCCACCGGGAGCTCGCCCTGGCCCGCAATCGCAGTGCACAGCCCCGGTTCCTGCCTGCATCTCTCCCTCCACACCTCCCTGCAAGCAGAGGGAGCCAGCTCCAGCCTTGGCCCACCCAGAGAGGGGCTCCCACACTGCAGCGGCCGGCTGAAGGGCTCCTCAAGCGTGTCCACTCTGGCCACCGAGGCCGAGGAGGTGCTGAGAGCAAGCAAGGGCCGCCAGCATGTTGTCACCTCTCAGTACCATACCCAGGAGAGCTTGATGTGAACTTAGCAAATTGCCTTAAAATATTTATTTTCATCAAATGAAGATACATTGGTGCTGGAATCAAAGATCCTTTCATGTTAACTGGTTGAAAAAACTTTGATTTCACAATTCTCTTGCACAAACAGCAATAGTTTATTTAGAACAGCCTGACTGAGAAAGTTGACTTGTCATGTTAGGGCAAGTGTGAGCTCTTAATAATATAAAATGCTTATTTGTGTCATTTAATTTTTATAATAGCTTCATAAAGTATTGATTTTTATTGTAAAAAGTGCCATGGTATTTGGTTTTAATCAAATATTAGTTGAATAAAAAGAAATGTATAGTGTAAATGCAATGACTTCTCATAGGGGTCAGAAATCCTAAATTTTCTCAATTTCAATTCTCAGCTTGCACAATTGCCAGGAAATTTACTGTGTTTTAATGAGTTTATTTTTAAAGATAGCATAAGTTCATATTTATTGTTTTATTTCTATTACCTAAGATTAGGCTATGTCTTCTTATATGAAAGAAAAAGGAATTTTGAAAGTGGTTAACAAAAAACTCAGATTATAGCTGATATATTAGCTAAAGTAAATATAACTCAATTACCAACGAGATATTTTACATAAATCCACACATTATTTAAAATGTGTATGCAAGGAGTAGGGGTCCACTGGTCTAGTCCTGATTCACACCATGCATGTTTTTCAACTTTAGTCCTTCATCACATCTTTTAACCTCAAGTCTAAATACTGAGATTTCAGTAGGTCTTTTCGAGGAGTGTTTTGTAGAATTTGAGTTTTTGTAAACTGAATTATGGGTTAAGCTAAATGTTCTTTTTGTTATATATATATAAAATATATGTATAGATATGTGTATATATATAAGTATATATATGTGTATATATATAAGTATATATATGTATATATATGTGTGTGTGTATATATATATATAATTTTACCTTAAGTTCTGGGATACATGTGTAGAACGTGCAGGTTTGTTACATAGGTATACATGTGCCACGGTGGTTTGCTGTACCTATCAACCCATCATCTAGATTTTAAGCTCCACATACATTAGGTATTTGTCCTAATGCTTTCCCTCCCCTTGCCACCCACACCCTGTGTTGTTCCCCTCACTGTGTCCATGTGTTCTCATTTTTTTTGATAGACAGTGGGAAGTATTGCCATTTGAAGTTAGACTAACATGTGAACTCTGATGCTCAACTTCTCTATATTGCATATTCCACAAGAGTAAAATGGGGAAAAAATAACATCACTGATAATTGAATGAAATAATGTGCAAAAAGCACCAAGCTTAATGTCTTTCCATTTTAAGACCCAATCAATGTTATTTTCCTTTCCCTTATGTGCTTTTTAATATAGAGCTCATGATGGTCTATTAGAATGGATGGAGCTTCAGAGTTGGAAAGATACTTGAATCTCAGCTTTATTACTTAATGGTGCTATGTGACATTGGAAAGCTACCTAACTTCTCTGGTCTTTTTTTTTTTTTTTTCATTTGCTAAATGGGTGCAGAGGGGATAAAAATATCTTAGAGTATTATGAAGATAAAATAACGTAAACTTGTTGTGTAATGCTAACATCTAGAAGGCATTCAATGAGCTTTAAAAAATATCTTGCTTTAACTTAAATATTCTAATCTTCCTCTTTACCTTCTTAATGTTTTATATGCAACTCATTTCCTGTCAGTTTGAATTTTCCCTCATATTCTTCTCTAGTGGCTGCAGTGCATCTGTCATCTGAGCCTGTAACTCTGTGCACAAATACTAATAATAACCAAAGTCATTTTTAGTACTTATTAAATACCAAGAAATATTCTAAACACTTTAGGCACCTTATTTCATTTGAAAACTCGGTCTTTTTTAAAAGGAAAACTAATTTATAATGAAAGACATCACTAGAGTGGAACCAACAGGGATTAGCTGGAAGAGGGCCTCAGGGAACTTTCTGAAGTAATGAAAATGTGCTAAATCATGACAGGGGTTTGTAAGCATTTGAAAAACTTATCAAACTTTATACATAAAATATGGGTATTTCGCTGTTGGTAAACTATACCTCGATGAGAAATTGAGAGGAAAAACCTAATGTTAAAAATATCCTTGGAGTGGAATGTTTTATGTCTAGTTTTTAGAGAGGAAAATTAAGGACCAGAATGTTCAGATGATATATTCAAGCCCACACTTACTGGTGGCCATGCCAGTCAAATCCAGATATATTTTAGTGCATGGCCCCTACACCTAACCACTAGGCTCCACTGCCTCTAATGAGATCTGTGCATCCTGACCCATGTTTTCATATTTATACTTTGTTATTTTATCCTTAGTAACTATATCACATAGATTGAGGCAGAGCAGCATATTTACATTTATATTATTGTTTATATTATCTTTACATTATTGAAATATTCTTATTTCATTGGAGATAGAGTTGTGTATTTTGGACAAAACTCTACGCAGAAAACGTATCTATCCCAAAATGTTTAGCTAGGGTGATGAGACCCAGGATATATTCTATCCTTGGAACCACTGTGCATTTCCAAGAACACTGGAAATATTTGGAGATCATGTTTCAGCTGCAATAACCTCAGGCAGCATATACAAACAGTACCTCAATAAGTCCTCTGGTAGCAAAATCCCTACCAATGTCTGCCATGCAATGAACCACCAAGGAGTTAGGAGTATTTTTAAGACAAAGTTTTGACAACCAAGTAAACTTGTTATCTAACCTTCTGTTACAAAGCATACATTTAAATTTCAAGTCAAATACGTCAGCAAAGATCCCTTGAAACTTTGGTGATTATAAAACAAAGCAGTCTGCAGTGCCTTTGCAGAGTTGGGTTCACTTTAAGGTTATTTCTGCCTTAAATGAGGCAGGAGTTTCTAAACTTATCAAAGCCTTGCCTGACATGTCCTCTCCCAACTTCCCATCGAAAAGCCCGTACAAATTCAGAAAACTGAATCTGAAATCTAAATTTGAAAAGGACAATTGACCAAATCGAAGGGAGATTTTCCTCTGTGCCATGATGAACATAAACTGAGAAATGCCTTCTTGTGCAATAAACTATGAGTTCACCTTCTGAAACTCAATATTAATGTGAAGCATTTCATATACTCATTTAATCCTTACAGCAACCCTATGAGGACTTCAATATTAATATGTGCATTTGTAGAGTAATAAAACATGTTAGCTGGGTTAATTGATTTGTCCGAGGACATACGTCCCATAATTTTGAGTGGGAGAGCCAATATTCAGGCCTCTTTAGCTACTTCTGTTCCCTACTATGAAATGCTCTAACTCTTCCCGAAAGAAGATATTAAAACATGTTGATCTGCTTTACTGCCTATATCTAGGGGATGCACTAACCTAGGTCAACTAATTTTGGAATTACAGCTAGACATTTTCTCTGTTGCTTTCAGCACTTCTTCACCTTTAAAAACCTTTTCAAAGCTCAGCATCTTGGGGCATTGCAAATGGAAGCGACTATATTAAAATTGGGGTTTAAGGGAGGAAGAATGTTAGGAATATTAGATGCCAGGATGTATGGTTTCTCCTGTACTGAATGATCAAAGAATTATAAATAAAATATTAGTTTCTATTGAAATTACAAAGCTCGTTATTGTGGCATTGGTTAGAAGAGAGTGAATATTTGTAAAGCAAACCTGCACCTGAGTGTCACACATGGAGCTAGAAGATGAACACCAAGCTTTCCCTTCATATTTGGATCTGTGAGGGAAATGCTGCAAGCCTGTTAAATGCTGGCCCTGACAGAGGTCTGCCCATATAAAGACCACTAAAGAGACGATAAAATGAAAAGTCAAGAATCATGGGGCTCTGAAAAAGACATAGCATAAGGCCAAAGATCTTTTTCCAGATACAGATCTCTGAAAATGATTATTTAGAAGAACCAGAAGATTTTTTTCACAAGATTGTAAGCACCATGTGACCAGAAACACTGTTTATTTCCTAAGGAATTCCTAGCAAGAAGAATAATATTTGACAAACAGTAGGCATTCACAAAACATTCATTAAATATCTAAGGAATAAAAAGTGGAGAAAAAAGGCAAAGGAATATAATTAATGAATTCCCCAAACTGTCAATACAAAGAAAATTTCATGTACATAATAGCTCATATTATATGACATTGTTGTGTTATTACTTGGAAAGCTGTTTGGAGATGTATGCTTTTATCCAAAACATAAATCTAAGGTAATTAATGCTAGTTGCTTCAACAACCTTTAAATCTCAGTGGCTTAAGAGAATAAGGCCTATTTATCACATGTTATACTCTGACGTGGGGAGAGTGTTCATTTGTGCAGCTGTCTCCCATGAGGCAACTCAAGGATCCAGGCTCCTTTCATCTCAGAGTATCATACTTCACTTGCGATTGTGTGGGTGAGAGAGACAGACCCTATACAAGATCACATGGGTAACAGCAGGCCAGGCTTGGGAATGGCATTCATCACTTCCATCCACATGCCATTAACCAGAAGCCAGAAATATGGTTTCAACTTAACTAGAAGAGGAGTTGGAAATGTTATCTTCCTGTTTGTCCAGTAAGAGGAAGTGGAACTTGTGAACATTTAGCTACTCTCTACTCCATTCCATCTTTTTGAGCATCACATTTTTATTATACTCTCTCTCATACCTTGAACACATTCACCATCTCCATAAGATGATAACCCAAGCTCCCATATAGTGACTCATTGCACTCCACCCATCTCAAAATTTGGAATCTCCATTGATGACAGTTTCCTCTCTGAGTCCCTGTTGTTGTTCCTTCTAGTTATCTGGTTGTCAATATAGACATTTACAATGGTCGAACACGCCCAGAATAACTGGAATAGAAAATCTCATTTCAAACGGGACACTGTTTCGTAGCAAATGTGAAATCCCACTAAGCATATGCTTGGGAAGACCCTGGTATTAATCTGTTCTCATGCTGCTGATAAAGACATACTTGAGACTGGGTAATTTATAAAGGAAAGAGGTTTAATTGACTCACAGTTCCACGTGGCTGGGGAGGCCTCACACTCATGGCAGAAGGCAAATGAGAAGCAAAGGCACATCTTACATGATGGCAGGCAAGAGAGCATGTGCTGGGGAACTCTCCTTTTTAAAACCAATAAACCTCATGGGACTTATTCACTACCATGAGAACAGTATGGGTGAAACCGCCCCCATGATTCAATTATCTCCACCTGGCCCTGCCCTTGACACTTGGGGATTACTACAGTTCAAGATGAGATTTGGGTGGGGACAGAGCCAAACCATATCGACACCCTATCTTAGGTGTAGCGAAAGGTTCTTGCTTAAGCCCTGGCTTTACTGTCTGACAGGGGCTCTTTTGCTCCTTTGCCCACTATTCTCCATGTCCCTACTGAAAAAGAAGTTTCTCTTCATGCATTTTTCTCCTTGGCCATTCTAAAGTGAGTGTAGGAATGGTACCTTCCTTGAAGGCTGTAGAAACTTCAGAAACAACTTTCTATTTGTGGAAAATTGGAAACCTAAAGGGTAATTTCAAAGCTTAAACAATGTTTTGTGTGTGGGGATGTGCATAGGGGAAGTAAAAGAGGTAGTTTTTGTGGCAATACAATTACCTCAAAAACTTAGTGATCCTGATATATTAGGTTCCAAATTATTCTATTTTCTTTTAATCATAAAGTTATATTATAGATATAGTTGTAAATTCTGTTTTATTGTTTTGTTTTCTTGCTACCCCCACCATGACTCTCTCTTGATATAAGTGGTGTCACCTTTAGGCAGGGCATGAATAGATCTATCCCTTGAGACAGTTTATTCGATTGAAACATTTTACAGAATATTTTTCACTCAAAGTCTTAAAAATTACTTTGGAGAATTTCCAACATATAAAAAGGTAGAGCGCATAGTAAACCACCCTAATCCCATCATCCAGGTTCAACAATTTTCAGTGCATGAAGTTAAATAAATTTAAATAAAGTTTAACAGCTGGGGTTTGACAAATCTCTGTGACTATATAGTTCTTACATTACTGTAGACAGGAGAAATAGATTATGCATGGGGTTGTAAAATTGAGGCAAATGCTACCCAAAGAAACTCCAAGACTTGCTGAAGGTTGCAAAATTAGTTTGTGGGAAACCTGGACTAGAAACTAAGTCTCTTGACTCTTAATTTAATTCTTCTTCCATGTTGCTCTTTTGTCTTCTTCAGATTAATTAAAGACAGTCAGAATACTTTAAGCAGCTACTGTGCTTATCACTTTTTAGGAAAAAACAAGTGCTACCTTTCATGAGGAGCTTAGAGATACTTCTTAAGTGATAAAATTTACAAAACAGAAATAATTAGAAAGTGGAAAAGTAGAGCATTGTTAAGACAGTATTTGTATTAGTCCGTTCTCACACTGCTATAAAGAAATACCCAAGACTGGGTAATTTATAAAGAAAAGAGGTTTAATTGACTAACATTTCTGCATGGCTGGGGAGGCCTCAGGAAACTTAGAATCATGGTGGAAGGGGAAGCAGGCATGTCTTACATGGTGCCAGGTGAGAGAGAGGAGTGTATGTGAAGGAGGAACTGTCAAACACTTATAAAAACCATCGGATCTCGGTGAGAACTCGCTATCATGAGAATAGCATGGGGGAAACCACCCCCGTGATCGAATCACTTCCCACTATGTCCCTCCCTTAACATGTGGGGATTACAGGGATTAGAATTTAAGATGAGATTTCGGTGGGGACACAGAGCCAAACCATATCAGTATTTAACTGCCAAATCTATTTCTTCAAATATTCATACTTTCCTTTTCTTCATTTATTAAACTGTTTTCATTTCTCTACTATAGCTAGTAAAAAAAAAAGATGATATATGTATCTGCAAAATCCAAGGAAGTTGCAATTTGAAATAAAAAATTCTTGAACAGCAAAATTGAAGACAAAAGAACCAAAGACCCTATTTCAGGGTAGACTGAATCAAGTCTTCTTGCACTCACTAAAGAAAAGACTTGCAGCCATATGAAGACAACAGCAAAGTGACCCTGACCATTTTCTTGTAGTGACACCTCCGCATAGTGACAGATGGGCTCCCAGAGGAGTGGATTGGCAGGTCTTGCCAGCACACTGTGAGTTGATCACAAGAGGAAATCAGGCCTCACACCTGTGCTGAACCGAGTTCCAGGCACTTCTCTAGGTCCTGTGGAAAAAAAAAAGTCATTTGAATTTCTCTTCCTATAGACAATAAAGGTTATTAAAAAAAATTTCTTTCCATTGCCTCAATGTTTCTTATTTCCTCTATTATAATCTATCACCAGTTAGAATCAGTTGTCTATTTTTGAGGCAAATACATATTGCAATTTGATTCTTAAATGATCATTGAACAAAGTGACGTCTTCATCTATGTTACGTAAACAGTCTAATGGCTCTAGACATCTGGGATGTCTTTTCCAAATTTGTTTGATTAATATTCTCATTTTGCTCAGCACTGAAACTCATGACTAATTTGCTATTTTTCTCTTTACTTCTGAGGTTTCTGCCAATTGCTTGCACTTGGGTCTTTTGCAGCATCTGTGACTGTTCACCATTTGTGATCCCCTTGAACACTGTTGGAACCAGACAGAAATGATGCTCATCCTGGCCTTTCCTCTTCACAGCTGTATGGCTCAAAGTAGAATACATTATTTCTCTCAGTCTCAATTTCCTCACTGGCAAAATCAGTAAGAGTCTGTCAATATCGCATGATTGTTGTTATATCTGTGATGATTACTGTTCACATTTTCATCATATCATTGTAGGGCACGGATAATGTTGTTCAGATTAGCAAAGGGACAGCAGTTCATTAATAATTTCCTCACCTAAAAAAACAAATTGTTGTCCTCACAGGCAATCTAGACATCTTTCCCCCGATTCCAAAGTCTTTTTATTAAACTCCTTAAAGGTACAATGTTTTATATATGTTTGCATCCCCACAGTTCCTAACATATCACCTTACATAATTCAGCATTTTTGGAACTTTTTGGAACAGATAGCTTAGATAACCTGCTAGATTTTTCCCTAGCCTAGCATTAGTTAGTAGTTTTTAATGGAACAATATTTGGAGAAAATTTTGGCTGTTACAACTGGGGGTGGTGCTACTGGCAGCTAGTTGGTATAAGTCAGGGATGCTGCTAAATATCCTTAAATATATAGGGTATACAAACAACAAAAAATTATCTGGCCCCAAATGTGCCAAGATTGAGAAACTCTAGTAGAGTTGAAAATGTAGCTTTGGAGTTAGACCTAGGTTCCAGTCCCAACTCAGTTGTTCACTTGCTTTATGATCTTGGGCAAGTTGCTTGACCTCTCTACATCTCCTGGAGCTCCCTGACACCTATCTACCAGCGCTTCCTCCTATATAAAATAAACCTCTCTATATAAAATAAAGCTATCACTTCCTTTTACTTTGGGAATTAAGTAAAATAATAATTGTATTCAGTGCTTGATACATAGAAGTTACTCAAACACATATACATTTTCCTTGCACTCTTTAAAGTCTGTCTGACGTAAAATGTTACAAGAATCTAGACACAGAGAGATAGATGCAAGCAAGAATTCTTACCTTAATAAGACCCAGGGATGTCAGGATTTTAATAAGGGATCTGAGTAAGACACAGGCTGTTCTCTGGAGACACAAAGAGGAGCAGTTCTGATCAAAAACGTGCTTACAGAAAGAGAATGAAAATAAATCTCATGTCTCCTGTTGGTGGCCACTCTGAGTTACTTTTGTCTTTGCTTCTCAAGCACAGACCACTTTAAGAGGAGCTGAACATGCCAAGGCCCTAACAGACATGTGGATTCCACTTGCTTCCTGAGCTCAGTCAGTGTTCATAAAATTGAATGTTCATAAAAATGAATCACAAAGACTTACTTTTATCAAGATTGTTTTAAAGAGTCTAGAGCCTCCAAAGGAGACTATGAGCATCCAGAGAATTGGGCACCAGGACAGTGGGCAGGAAAATGCATCTGCACCTGCTGCAACCAGCTGGCCTTCCTCCTGGCCTGGGCCCAAGGCTGACAGTGAGCCGGACCAGGGTCTTAGAAGGCTCCAATGTTGACCATCTTTGTGTTGAAGTGCTGGTACATAGGTGTCAGGGAGCTCCAGGAGAGCCTGCCCTGAGGCCATGCAAGGAGGGATCTCATCTTGTTCAGTGTAACAGACTCAGGACCAAACACTGTGCCTGGAACACAGTAGGTGTTTAATAATGATTATTGAATAGTCTCACAGAAATACTGAAACAATAGCATTTGACTCTGAAACCTGAGGGAAACACTCTGGGCAGAAGCCAAAGTAGTTTCCTCTAACAAGGAGCATGTGGCCTGTGTGGAGGTCTTTGAGCTGCATGATTCATGATCATTTAGAAACATTCCTGAAGAATAATACCTTCTCTAAAGAGGGAGGCATAAAACCTTACATAAAAGGCATAACTGCAGAATCCAGTGGATCCCATCCCTCACATTAGCAAGAGGTATTGAATTATACCCCTATTAAGAATGAATAGAGATTATAAGCCAGAGGGAAGTATAATATAATTCAATTGAAAGAAATCACTACTTAGGAGAGTTAATGAGTTTGCCATTCAAAACGTGTGTTAATAATTAGCATTTTATTGAATGCTTGCCGCTTCCCATCCACTGAACTAAGCACTTTTCACACGTTCTTATTTTATGCCCACAACACTTTATGATATAGTTTCTGTTGTTATCCACATTCTACAGACAAGAACGCTGAGGCTTAGAGAGGTTAAGTGATTTTCCCAAGGTCACAGAATTAATAGTAGTTAAGGTCAGTATGAGTCCAGATCCTGAGTTCTTAAACATTAAGCAATACTCTTAGGGAATCCCTTGGAGCATCCTCACAAATGGAAAAAATTGCTTGGAAAATCTCTGTCTCAGCTAGAGGTACTTACCTGCAGTGCCAAGTCCTATAAATCTGCAGGTGAGTGGCCACATATTTTTGGAAGCCCAAAGAAAGGAGGAAATGTGAATATTTAATGTCTTGATGTGCAAAAGAAAAAGGCAAACCAGACACATTAGAGAAGCACAATTATCTCTTGGTATTAAAACCAGAGAATCATTTCTCTGGGGCCTAACAGAGGATAAGGTTTAATATAATTAACAATGCCTACAAGAGCATCTTTACTGTAAATATCATGCACAACAAAAAGGCCAGGACCATGAAATTACTGAAATTATTTGAATACCTTGAAATTATTTCAATACCTCTTGCTAATGTGAGGGATGGGATCCACTTGGTTCTGCAGTCATCCCTTTTATGTAATGTCTTAAACCTCACTTCTTAGAGAAGGTATTATTCTTCAGGAATGTTTCTAAATAGTCATCAATTATGCAGATCAAAAACCTCCACGCAGGCCACATGTTTGTTGTAGGAAGAGACTACCACTAAGCTCTACTCTTCAGGAAGTAGATTCTCAAAGTTGCAGATGCTCCCTCTATACATGTTGAACTGGCTCTGAGAAAACAATGTTTAAGGAGGACTGTCTGAAGATTATACTGTTCATTTGTTCCTCTAGGTATTATAAAATCTATCTCTACATTGCAAATAACCAGCAGGAATGTCCCTAGATTTCATGGTTATGGTCTTTTTGTTGTGGGTCATATGTATTGTAAAGATGCTCTTGGAGGTATTGTTAATTAAATTAAAGTATCCTCTGTGTGAGGCCCCAGAGAAATGATTCTCTGGTTTTAATACCAAAGATAATTATGCTTCCCTAATGCCTCTGGTTTATCTTTTCCTTTTGCACATCAGGTCATGTAAATATTCACATTTCCTTCTTGTTTTGGCTGTCAAAAATACATGGCCACTCACCTGCAGATTTATAGGAACTTGCGCTGCGGGTAAGTACCTCTAGCTGATGCAGGGATTTTCCAAGCAATTTTTTTTCATTTGTGAGGATGCTCCAAGGAATTCCCTAACCCCCTGTTATTTTTACCTCCTGTTAATGGGGAAAGTCAGGGTAATTTTGCAGGGGGTAGAGATGAAGAAGAACAGATAAAAGATCCTAAGCAATGAACTAGGGCTGGGGCTGCACAGGTACAGATAACAAATTCCCCACCCTCAAAGAGTTTGTAGCTTAATGGAGGAAACACACAGGCTAAAAACTTTTGTAACATAGTTTTTAAAAATTGTATTCATGTGAAGATGAGAACACTAGACAAGACCTCCGAGCTCCCTACTCTGCCGAGGGAAATTAAGAATGCTTTAATACAGGAGTTAACATTTGGACAGGACCTTGCAGCATAAGGAAACAACATTTATTGAACACTACATGCTGTGTGCTTCTTTATTTCGATTAGCTAATTGAATCACGGCAACTTCACAAGATAGGTGCATTTTCCCTCATTTTTTTTTTTTGATAGACTAATGAAAGTAAGGCCCAGGAAAATCAAGCATTTATTCAGGATGGCACAGGTATGGAGCTTCAGGGCTGGGATTTCAACCTAGATCTGCTTGTCTTCAACCATGCTCTTGCCTTCATGTATTAGGACTATTCAGGTCTAATGAGGCCTTCAAATGAGGATGCATGGTTCTGGGAATTGGGAGGGCAAATTCCACCCACGAATATCTGGTTGAATGCCTGTGTCCTTTGTGCAGGCAGAGGAAAGAGCAAAATGATTTCTCAGGATGTTTTTAGCTCACTTTCTGTGCATGCTTGTCTCAGGGAAGAAAACGTCTCCACTTCTAACTTTTGATCAGTGTTCCTCTTAGTGTAAGTGTCTCTCCAGTGGTACAGTGAAGTTTTTAGATCAGCTGCATTTAAACTGGATGAAGGAAGGGATCAGGTCAGTCTTGTTTAGGACTCATACCTAGTACCTGGCCATAGAAGCCATTGATACTCATTATATATTCACCGAGTGAACACAGGAATCACTGAAGAAACTGGGAGATAAGCATTAATATATTAGGTTTGGTGATTTGGTAGTTTCTATATCCCCTAAGTCCTCATGACAATTTTATGTATGTATGTATGTATGTATGTATGTATTTATTTATTTATTTATTTATTTATTTATTGAGACGGAGTCTCGCTCTGTTGTCTAGGCTGGAGTGCAGTGGTGCGATCTTGGCTCACTGCAAGCTCCGCCTTCCATGTTCACGCCATTCTCCTGCCTCAGCCTTCCGAGTAGCTGGGACTACAGGCGCCCACCACCTCGCTCGTCTAATTTTTTGTGTATTTAGTAGAGACGCGGTTTCACCGTATTAGCCAGGATGGTCTCAAACTCCTGACCTCGTGATCTGCCCGCCTCAGCCTCCCAAAGTGCTGGGATTACAGGCGTGAGCCACTGCGCCGGGCCCCTCATGACAATTTAAGTCCTCAATAAACGTTTTGAATGAAAAAACTCCCCACCATTTAGAACTGCATTTAGTTCCCGAAGACTTCCCTGACAATCCTCATTTTGACCTACTCCTACTCCACACCACACAAGAAATACCAGCACATGATTTCTATAACACTCTACATCTCCTGCCAGAGCAGCTATTAACATTCCTGGTATTGTCTTCTCAGTTAGACATCTTCTTCCATTCCCATATAGGCATCCTGAAGACAAACAGTGTGGCTCCCTTAGTCACCTTTGTATCTGTAATATCCAGCCTGGCATAAAGTAGGCTTGATTGGTTAATAGAATGAAAGAACAAATAAATCAATGAATACAATAATTTGCTGTTCTTCATTACCATACTAATCAGATGATGAACAAGCTTTTACAGGGAGTCATAATCCAGAGGAGAGCTAAAAATAATTACACAAAAGCAAAATTATTATGTATAAACTGCCCCCACCACACACACACACACACGAAAGAAAAAAATACATGCATTCTAAAATGGCACCTAAGTAGCAGTATGAGGGCCCTCAAAAGCAAAGCAAAACAAAGCTCAACTAAACTAAACTAAACAAGTTGTATTCATCATTAGATCACCAGGGCCTCCTTTTAATTGTCTCATTGCAGTAGTTCTTTCTTTCAAAGTTTCCGGTGCCTCCTACTCTGAGTTGCTGCAGTTTAAGTGTTAAATTTCTCATGCTGAAGATTTGCTGCCTTGTTCATCTTTCGTTTTCCTTCATTCTTCCTGGGTAGCTGCATGGTTTTTACTTCTTATTCCACACAATCCTTTGGCCAAGTTTTCCCAGCTTGAAAACTGCTTTATATTTTCATGTTTTTTAAATAGTCCATGTATTCAAGCACCATACTCTTTGTTGACTTGTTTTAGTTTTTCTATCACAGTACCTCTTTCATGATAAAGCTTTTCCTCTACACTTTGCAGATAGAATGTAATAATATGTGATTGATTTTCTCTTCCTAGTCACTAAACATTTTGAAAGTGATTCAAAAGTCCCCAGATCTCTTCATACCTATCTCAACTCTAAGAACATTTTAGTGGCAGCCATGCATTACATACTCATATTATTCATGTTACTGTGTATCTGTTGCTTTATGAATATTGCTATTTAAGGTTAATCTAATGTTGATGATTTACAAATTATAATATCAAAAGAAATATCTGTAATAATAATTGACATCTGTATGTTTTACAGTTTAAATACTATTTATTTAATTATCTTTTTAAAGAGATGGGCATCTCACTATGTTGCCTGTGCTGGTGTGCAGTAGCTGTTCACAGGCATGATGATAGTGCACTAGAGCCTTGAACTCCTGGGCTCAAGCCAGCCTCTTACTTCAGCCTCTTGAATAGCTGGTACTGCAGTCACATGCCACCGTATCATGCTAACAGGTATCTTAATATCAGTAAATTCTCAATAGCCAGTGTTAAGTGGTTACTTACAGATGAGGAAACTAATGTTCTGGGTGGTTTGCCCAAGATCAAATAGTCTACCTAGATTTTTTTTGTCTACATATTATTCCCTACATTATATCCACTTGTGTGAAATTTAGAACCAGACAACTCTGACTCTAGGGAAATGAATTCTCATGCCCAAGGCTTTGTCTTAGGACCATGGTAGACTTAAGGAGATCTCCTGATAACGCTGTGCAATTACTGGGTTCTGTATCTTTGTGCAAGCTGTCCTTTCTTGGGAAACCTGTTCCCACCTCAAATGTGAAAACCGTATATATCTTTGTGCTCAGATGTTACTTTCCCTGTGAAGCACATCTATCACCCTGAACAAAGTTAGTGGCCTCCTTAATGTCCCTTGTATATCTTTCCATTACTGGATTTATCACACTGGAATATCTAGTGAGATTTCTGACTCCTTGGATTTGGTTTAGGCAGTTGGAAGACAGAGATTATGTCACATCCAGTAGAAGCTTACTAAATCCCAGATGAGCTGAATCAGCTATACAGTTCTCAGCATTAAAACCATGTTGGGCGCATTCCCAGGTTAATATTTGCTTCCCTTTGGGTTTTTTGCTAAAATTCAAACTAATACTCCAAGTTACTTAATTGCTTCACTGAGGTGTGTCAAAGTTAATTGAAGTATTACATGTTTTATTTTTCCATCTTATACATAAAACTTGAGGCTGTTAGAATGCAGAAAACTACCCAGAAATGTTGTCAAGTCAAGGAGACCTGGTTCATCCTAGCCTGGTTCTTCAAGCCTCAAAAAAACAAGATGAAGATGGAAGGCCAGTTAGAGGGACTGTTACTCTACATGCAAGAAAAATGTTATCTGTCATTCAGACTTGAGTTTCTATCTCTTATTCTTCATAATAGCTAAGTTCTTAGAGATGTGGCTGGGTGTGTGCTTTATATGCATTAATCCTTACAACAGTCAGGTGATGCGGGCATAACATCTTCATTCTTCGCAGTTCGTGAACATGAGATCAAGGCAGGTTTAATGACTTGGCAAGTTCACATACAAGTTAAAAGGAAAATGTGAGATGTGCAAAAAATTCTATCTGGTTTCAAAATTTGTACTCTTTACACTACATGCTGCATGATCTTTTCTTGCTGTATGAGCAGCAATGACATAAGTAAGAATGCCTTTCTCATCTTATTCATTCAAACATTTTCTTTTCCACCTGGCCAGTGACTTTGCTATGAGGAAAAAATAAAAAAAAAAAAAAAGCTTAAGTCCTTTCTCCTAACAGTGCACCTGGTTAAGAACTAAAGTAGCTATTTGTCCTTGGCAAGTCACTGCGTATCAAGGCTTTTGATAAAATTCATTTAAATTTTCTGCTTTTTGTCTCATGGCCCCAACCTCCTGATTTTATTTGGTTTTAACTTTTATTTCCCATTATGAGAGAAGCTCCTATTGGTTTTTATAAATGCATCTTTCTCACTGGACGCACAGCTGTCTGATGACTTTCATGTTCATCTGATAATTTTCCAGGACATGAACAGAAGGCATGGAATATATATATATATTCCATATATATGTGTGTATATATATATATTCCATATATATGTGTGTATATATATATATTCCATATATATGTGTGTGTATATATATATATTCCATATATATGTGTGTGTATATATATATATTCCATATATATGTGTGTGTATATATATATTCCATATATATGTGTGTGTATATATATATTCCATATATATGTGTGTATATATATATTCCATATATATGTGTGTGTATATATATATTCCATATATATGTGTGTATATATATATTCCATATATATGTGTGTATATATATATTCCATATATATGTGTGTATATATATATTCCATATATATGTGTGTATATATATATTCCATATATATTGTATATATAATATATATATTCCATATATATGTGTATATATATAATATATATTCCATATATATGTGTATATATATAATATATATATTCCATATATGTATATATTATATATATTCCATATATATGTGTATATATATTATATATACACACACAACATATATATAACATATATATCATATATATCATATATATAATTTATATATATATATATATATATATATATATATATATATATATATGAAATTTTTTCCTTCTGCCCTGGGAGGCAGTAATGAGAGGTATAAAAATTTGTATTAACCTCCACCCCACTTTTTATTTTTGGTCAGCCAAATGCCCAGCAAGTAAAGAGACTCCACAAACTGAAAGATTCCTTGCTGTCAAAGGTGGCCTCAATTTCTTCTAGGTCACTGAAGATTTTCATCTATTAGAAAACAGCTTTGAGGGAAACTGCCAGGAGCATAGTCATTAATGTAGCATTGATAGTTCAATGTCAGGAACTTTTGAGAATGGAGGAAATTATGAGATACTTTTTTCTTCACATTTTAAAAAAGAGAGTATCTATTTGATAAAATTCAAATACAGACCTAAGGAAGCATATGAACAAGACCTAAGTAAGCTTTTGAGTGAAAAAGACCTAGGGTTGAAATCCAGTTCTATTGTTACCTTTTTGTAGTGGTTTTTATATGATTCAATGCATACATTAAATTTCATAGGGCCGTATACCAAAATATTTGGAAGGTTTTCAGGCATTATTAATTCAACTATATTTTCAGCACCAAACTCTTCCTCTTCACTTTTTGGGACGGACAGCATAAATATTAGACATCTTGCTTTTGACCTATAGATCTCTGAGACTGTTACATATTTTAATCTCTTTTTTTTCTGTTATTCAGGCTGGAGAAGTTCTACTGATCTATCTAAAAGTTTTCTGACTCTTTCTTCTATTCTCTATTCATCTCTATTTCACTGTCAACCCCAACAGGTGAGTTGTTTATTCTTTTATTATTTATTTATTTTGAGGCGGAGTTTCGCTCTTGCTGCCCAGGCTGGGGTGCAATGGTGCAATCTTAGCTCACTGCAACCTCCACCTCCCTGGTTCAAGCAATTCTCCTGCTTTAGCCTCCCAAGTAGCTGGGATTACAGGCATGAGTCACCATGCCCAGCTAATTTTTTGTATTTAGTAGAGAAGGTGTTTCGCCATGTGGGTCAGGCTGGTCTCAAACTCCTGACCTCAGGTGATCTACCAGCCTCGGCCTCCGAAAGTGCTAGGATTACAGGCATGAGCCACTGCGCCCAGCCCTTTATTTAGTTATTATATTTTTTAGCTCTAAACTGTCATTTAGTTATTCCTATGGTTCTAATACTTTGCTGAAACTTTCTATTTTTTGTTTCAAAAGGTTTCAAAATTCCATATTGGGACAATTTTATAATGCCTGCTTTATAGACTTTGTCAGATAATTTCAACATCTGTGCTATCTCAGTCTTGGCATCTGTTGATTGCTTTTTCCCATGTAAGTTGAGATTCTCCTTGTTTTTCACATGATGACTAATTTTTGACTGTATCCTGTTTAAACAGCATACAAAATGTTGACTTTTTTTTTTTTGTTAGGTTCCGGCTGCAAGTTCAGTTTCACCTTCTGTGGGGGTTGTCTATTGTTCCAATGTCAGTTGAGTTTTCAAAGCCTTTGCTTCTATCCGTCCTGCTTGTGCTCCACCTAGTATGGTGGACCTAGGTGGTGATGTATGTCACCACTCAGTTGTCAAGGATTTGGAGGTGCTGATTAGAATCAGATCTATGCATGTACTGCCTAGCATTTCATGTACAATTTGCATGGGCTCACATTTCTCAGCTACTTTTTATCCTTAATCTCTTTGTCAGTTTCCAGTACCCTGGGGATCACTTTTTAGGCCCTCCAGCAGGAAAGATGGGGCTTTAGTTATCCTACTCCATTGCAGGGCCAAGACCAGGGTGAAAAAAGTGAGGCACATTTCTTGGGTACAGAAATTAAGAGGGTACCAAAACATTCAATAGATAAGTAAAATTTTAATGCGATATTTTAAAAAATCAAAATTAATGTGAAAATTTATAATGAACAAAATGTTGCAATTTAAGTAAAGACAGGATCCAGCTCTGCACTTTACTACCCAGCCTCACTTCCTCAACCTAATTCCAGCCCTCCTTTGCTGTATATTTCTACAACTGCACCTCCATCTGGAGCCAGGCAGCAGGAAGACAGGCAGAAAAAAAATGTAACCAGTTTGGTGGAACTTTGAATTCTGGTCTTCTTCCTCAACCTTCCTGTTACTAATTATATTTCAGAGCCTTCAACTAGTTGATCTATGCATTCTATCCAGGTTTTGCAGCTATACTCTGTGAGAAAAACAGAGTAGAGGGTGGTTATTTCATCTTAACTGGAACAAGAATCAGAGAAGAATATTCTTAGATTGCTACAAGGAGCTAGATGAAAGACTGACAAAAAAGTAAATTCTAGGGGAAAAAGCAATACATATTTCAAAAAGCAATTCTGTCACCTTATTCTTTCTAGTAAAACTTTTTATCCTTAAAAATAAAATTAGCTTTCTAGGAATTATACAATACACTCTTTTCCTTTCCTTCACCTTCCAGTGGAAAGTGCATGTGTACGTAGGTGCATGAGTGCATGAGTAGGCATACGTACAATCATGCCCCAGAGAAAGACAGAAACAGAAATAGAAACAAAGTGGGAGGGACTTAGATAAGGATCTTGTAGCTTTAGGTTGAGTTTCTCCAGTGTTCCTTTTACCATTAGGGAAAGATTAAAATGTTAGAATAAATAACTTATAAGGTCCTATATGGATTTCCTCTTCCTTCCTATTTTGAGGAAATCATCAGAGGGACAAACCTCTCTCATGGGTACAGTATTTGCTACCATTGACAATGTCACAGTTTTTTCTATTTATAAAAAGAAGGATACTTACATAAAGGGTAATTCATTGTTATAAGCAAGGTAGGTCAAGTTCGGTGCTGGCATTCCTTTAGCTGTCTGCACCAGTACCTTAAACATATGAAAAACATATTCACATGTACTATTTGAAGAATGTAGCTCAGGATTTTTGCTTATTTGCTGCTGGACCCAGAACTGTTTTGTTCATTGAACAAAGTGTTAGATGGAAGGTTGTAAAACGCAGGGCAGAATGTATTTAAATATTATTTGAATTTGACTGTAGAAAGAGAACTGTGTGAAAAAGCTGTTGACTGCTTTTTACCTTTGTGGTCTCTGGACCTTTGAATTCACTGTAGTAAAAACCAAATTTTAACCTACATTTGGCCCAGACGGTGAATTTTTCTATAAATATGGAAAACTCTAAAATATCCCTTTCACTTGCATCCATGTGAAGAGACCACCAAACAGGCTTTATGTGAGCAACAAGGTCGTAGGTGGATCTTTCTCACGGAGCAAAGAGCAGGAGGAGAGGGGATTGATCTCCCAAGGGAGGTCCCCTCGATCCAAGTCACAGCACCAAATTTCACGCGCGTCCATGTGAAGAGACCACCAAACAGGCTTTGTGTGAGCAACAAGGCTGTTTATTTCACCTGGGTGCAGGCGGGCTGAGTCCGAAAAGAGAGTCAGCGAAGGGAGACAGGGGTGGGGCCGTTTTATAAGATTTGGGTAGGTAAAGGAAAATTACAGTCAAATCGGGGGGGTTATTCTCTGGCTGGCAGGGGTGGGGGTCACAAGGTGCTCAGTGGGGGAGCTTTTGAGCCAGGATGAGCCAGGAAAAGGAATTTCACAAGGTAATGTCATCAGTTTAGGCAGGAACAGGCCATTTTCACTTCTTTTGTGGTGGAATGTCATCAGTTAAGGCAGGAACTGGCCATCTGGATGTTTATGTGCAGGTCACAGGGGATGTGATGGCTTAGCTTTGGCTCAGACACCTGACATTCCTGTCTTCTATTAATAAGAAAAATAAAATAGCGAAGTGTTGGGGCGGTGAAAATTTTTTTGGGGTGGTATGGAGAGATAATGGGCGATGTTTCTCAGGGCTGCTTCAAGCGGGATTAGGGGCGGCGTGGGAACCTAGAGTGGGAGAGATTAAGCTGAAGGAAGATTTTGTGGTAAGGGGTGATATTGTGGGGTTGTTAGAAGAAATATTTGTCGTATAGAATTATTGGTGATGGCCTGGATGCGGTTTTGTATGAATTGAAAAACTAAACGGAATAAGACAAGGAGAAAAACAGGTATTAAAGGACTAAGAATTGGGAGGACCTAGGACATCTAACCAGAGTGCCTAAGGAGGTTCAGCATAGCCCTGCCAGCAAAGATTATTTACTTTAAGAGGGACTTTAGAGTGGCGGTTTGGGGATAGGACCAGGAGATGTCAGCTGTGAAGGCTTGGAGAAACAGTGTAAATGGGCAGTGTAAACAAGAGCAGGGCATTTATGAGTAGTTGAGAGCAGTGAATAGAAGTATGGCTAGACAGAAGACAGTAGGGATGACAAGTTTTTTGGGGCACAGTCCAAGTTGGTCTGGTGTCTGGAATGAGGTTGGGGCCTAATAAAAAGGAGGGTCTATACAGGAGCTTAAATGGGCTGTACTTTGTAGCATTCCGAGGACAGGCCTGAATTATGAGAAGGGAAAGAGGTAAAAGTACTGTCCAGTCCTTTTTAAGTTGGAGGCTGGGCTTGGTGAGGTGTGTCTTTAAAAGACCATTAGTCTGTTCTGCCTTTCCTGAAGATTGAGGATGGTAAGGGGTAGGAAGTTTCCACTGAATACCAAGAGCCTGAGAAACTGCTTGGGTGATTTGACTAGTAAAGGCCAGTCTGTTATAGGACTGTATAGAAGTGAGAAGGCCAAACCGAGGAATTATGTCAGACAGAAGGGCAGAAATGACCGTGGTGGCCTTTTCAGACCCTGTGGGAAAGGCCTCTACCTATCCAGTGAAAGTGTCTACCCAGACCAAGAGGTATTTTAGTTTCCTGACTCAGGGTATGTTGCATAAAGTCAATTTGCCAGTCCTGGGTGGGGGCAAATCCCAGAGCTTGATGTGTAGGGAAGGGAGGGGGCCTGAATAATCCCTGAGGAGTAGTAGAATTGCAGATGGAGCACTGAGAAGTGATTTCCTTGAGGACAGATTTTCATGATGGAAAGGAAATGAGAGATTCTAAGAGACGGACTAGTGGCTTGTAACCTACATGGAAGAGGTTATGAAATGACGACAGAATAGAATGGGCCTGTGAGGCTGGAAGGAGATATTTTCCTTGGTCTAAGAACCATTTGCCTTGTGTGGGAAGAGATTGATAGGTGGAAGTTTCAGTGGGGGAGTATGTGGGAGTGGCCAGATGAGAAGGAAAAAAACTGAAAGTGAGGGATATAAGTTGGAACACTAGCTGCTTTTTTAGCTATCTTACCGGCATAAGCATTGTCCTGAGCAATGGGATCTGGTGCCTTTTGATGTCCTTTGCAGTGAATGACTCTAGCTTCCTTTGGAAGTAAAGCGGCTTTGAGAAGCGTTTTTATTAAAGAGGCATTAATGATAGAGGACCCTTCTGTAGTGAGGAAACCTCTTGCATGGTGGTGCAGGATATGGAAAGCATATTTAGAGTCAGTATAAATATTGATGTGTAGTCCTTTTGCAAGAGTGAGGGCTTGACTTAAGGCAATGAGTTCAGCTTGCTGAGAGGTAGTGGAGTGGGGCAGAGTGGTAGCTTCAATGATAGATGTGGAAGATACTATAGCATAGCCTGCCTTTGCTGGTGAGTGGCGATTAGGCCTGGTGGAACTGCCATCAATAAACCAAGTGTGTTCAGGGTGAGGAACATGAAAGAATATGGGGATATGGAGGGAATGTCAGGTGGATCAGAGAGATACAGTCATGGGAGTCAGGTGTGGTATCAGGAATAATGTGGGAGGCCGGATTGAAGTCCAGGCCAGGAACAATGGTAATTGTGGGAGACTCAACAAAGAGTGAGTACAGCTGAAGGAGCCGGGGGAGCAGAAAGTATATGTGTCAGGTGTGAGGAAGAAAATAGATTTTGGAAGTTACGAGAACTGTAGAGAGTAAGTTGAGCACAGTTTGTGATTTTAAGGGCCTCTAAAAGTATTAGGGCGGCAGCGGCTGCACGCAGAATTGAGGGCTAGGCAAAAGAGTAAGGTCAAGTTTTGCCTAGGATAAAAAGGCTACAGGGCATGGTCCCAGTCCTTGTGTAAGAATTCTGCCTGCACAGCCCTGCACTTCAGCTGTGGGTAATGAAGTGTTGGGATAAGTCAGGGAGAGCTAGGGTGAGGGCAGTCTCTAAAGCTGTTTTCAAGCAACAGAAAGAGGAGTGGGGAAAGGATTTAGGATCTATGGGGTCAGCTAGGTTTCCTTTTGTGAGTTTATGTAATGGTTTTATTACGATGGCAAAACCAGGTATCTAAAGTTGAAAGTATCCAACCATGCCTAGGAAGGAAAGGAGTTGTGTTTTGTAGAAGGTGTTGGGGTTTGAGAGATCAGTCAGACACGATCTGCAGGGAGAGCACATGTGTTTTTATGAGAATTATGCCGAGATAGGTAACAGATGAGGAAGAAATTTGGGCTTGACTGAAGTAATGGGAGCTGTCTGTGTAGCCTTGCAGCAGTACAGCCTAGGTAATTTGCTAAGCCTGATGGGTGTCAGGGTCAGTACAAGTGAAAGCAAAGAGAGGCTGGGATGAAGGGTGCAAAAGAATAGTAAAGAAAGCATGTTTGAGATCCAGAACAGAATAACGGGTTGTGGAGAGAGGTATTGAGGATAGGAGAGTATATGGGTTTGGCACCATGGGGTGGATAGGGAAAACAATTTGGTTGATAAGGGGCAGATCCTGAACTAACCTGTAAGGCTTGTCTGGTTTTAGGACAGGTAAAATGGGGGAATTGTAAGGAGAGTTTTAGGCTGTAAAAGACCATGCTGTAGCAGGCCAGTGATAACAAAGCTTTAATCCTTTTAAAGCGTGCTGCGGGATGGGATATTGGCCTTGAGTGGGGTAAAGGTGATTAGGTTTTAATGAGATGGTAAAGGGTGCATGATCAGTCACCAAGGAGGGAGTAGAGGTGTCCTATACTTGTGGGTTAAGGTGGGGAGATACAAGGGGAAAATGTAAAGGAGGCTTTGAACTGGGGGAAAAGGTGGCAGTGAGGTGTGGCTGTAGCCCAGGAATAATCAGGGAAGCAGATAATTTAGTTAAAGTGTCTCGGCCTAATAAGGGAACTGGGCAGGTGGAGATAACTAAAAGGAGTGCTTAAAAGAGTATTGTCTAAGCTGACACCAGAGTTGGGGAGTTTTAAGAGGTTTAGAAGCCTGGCCGTCAATACCCGCAACAGTTATGGAGGCAAAGGAAACAGGCCCTTGAAAAGAAGGTAATGTGGAGTGGGTAGCCTTCGTATTGATTAAGAAGGGGACGGACTTGACCTCCACTGTGAGAGTCACCTAAAGCATCTGTGATGGTCCAGGAAGCTTCCGAGGCAATCAGGCAGCGTCGATCGTCAGCCGCTAAGCCAAGAAGATCTGGGAAGGAGTCAGAGAGCCTTGGGCCAGAGTTCCAGGGGCTCTGGGAGTGGCTGCCAGGTGAGTTGAACAGTCCAATTTCCAGTGGGGTCCTGCACAGATGGGACATGGCTTAGGAGGAATCCCGGGCTGCGGGCATTCCTTGGCCCAGTGGCCAGATTTCCGGCACTTGTAGCAAGCTCCTGGGGGACGCAGGCCTGGAGGAATGCCTGGCCGCCGCAGTTCAGGCATTTGGAAGTTCTTCTGTGCTGGAGATATGGCTGGGGTTTGTCTCACAGTGGAGGCAAGGAATTGCAACTCAGAAATATGTTGCTACTTGGCTGCCTCTACCCTAACATTGTACACCTTTAAGGTGAGTTTAATTAAGTCCTGTTGTGGGGTTTGGGGGCCGGAATTTAATTTTTGGAGCTTTATTTAATGTCGGGAGCAGATTGGGTAATAAAATAAAATGCATGTTGAGAATAAGACGGCCTTCTGACCTTTCAGGGTCTAGGGCTGTAAAGCATCTCAGGGTTGCTGCCAAACGAGCCACAAACTGGGCTGGGTTTTTATATTCGATGAAAAAGAGCCTAAATGCTAACTGATTTTGGGAGAGGTCAGATAAAGAAACAGAAGCATTAGCCTTGACTATGCCTTTAGCTCCAGCCATCTTTTTAAGAGGAAATTGCTGGGCAGGTGGGGGAGGGCTAGTCGCAGAATGAAACTGTAAGCCAGACCGGGTGTGAGGAGGGGAGGTGATTAAAGGATTATAGGGTGGTGGAGCAGAGGCTGAGGAAGAATTGGGACCTGGCTCGGCCTGGCGGGGAGCAGCCTGGGGAGGAGGGGAGAGGTCAGATGGGTCTGTAGAAAAGGAAGATTAGAAAGACTCAGCCACACTTGGGGTTGGGACTGAGAGGACAGGTGGGAGGGAAAGAAGGAGGATTTGGGATGAGTCGCATTGGGAACAGAGACTACAGAGGGAACAATGTATAAAAGAATGCCTGGACGTCAGGCACCTCAGACCGTTTGCCCATTTTACGGCAATAATTATCTAGATCTTGTAGGATGGAAAAATTGAAAGTGGCATTTTCTGGCTATTTGGAACCACTGTCGAGTTTGTATTGGGGTCAAGCAGCATTGTAGAAGAAAATAAGGTGTTCAGGTTTTAGGTCAGATGTGAGTTGAAGAGGTTTTAAGTTCTTGAGAACACAGGCTAAGGGAGAAGGAGGAATGGAGGGTGGAAGGCTGCCCATAGTGAAGGAGGCAAGCCCAGAGAAAAGAGAGTAGAGACACGGAGAGAAGGGGTTGGGGGGTGCTTGCCCCCCAGGAAAGTGGAGAAGGGGTAGAGACACGGAGAGAAGGGGTCGGGGGTTCCTCCCCACCAGAGAAGCAGTACTTTCTGCTAAGGGTGAAGGACCAAGGCAGGTGTCTCCACGTGGTCAGACACCTCTGAAACGTGGGTGAATAATCAGGCAGGTGTCCCTGCAATGATTAAACACCAAGGGAAGGCTGCCTTCTGGAGTCCGTGACCGGCACCAGAGTTTTGAGTCCATGGATAAAATGCCTCTCCTTTGTCTCTACCCGAAAAGGAAAGGAACTGAAATTAAGAGAAGGGAGAGACTGAAGTGTGGCACTAAGATTAAAAGGAGAAAGAGGTTGAGGGATAGTGAGAGAGGTTGGAGAAGAGAGTAAAAAAAAGGTTGCTTACTAGATTTAAAATTGGTGAGATGTTCCTTGGGCTGGTTAGTCTGAGGACCAGAGGTCATAGGTGGATCTTTCTCTCAGAGCAAAGAGTAGGAGGAGAGGGGATTGATCTCCCAAGGGAGGTCCCCTGATCCCAGCCATGGCGCCAAAATTTCACTTGTGTCCATGTGAAGAGACCACCAAACAGGCTTTGTGTGAGCAGCAAGGCTGTTTATTTCACCTGGGTGCAGGCGGGCTGAGTCTGAAAAGAGTCAGCAAAGGGAGATGGGGTGGGGACATTTTATAAGATTTGGGTAGGTAAAGGAAAATTACAGTCAAAGGGGGTTGTTCTCGGTGGGCAGGGTGGGGGGGTCACAAGGTGCTCAGTGGGGGAGCTTTTGAGCCAGGATGAGCCAGGCAAAGGAATTTCACAAGGTAATGTCCTCAGTTAAGGCAGGAACAAGCTATTTTCACTTCTTTTGTCATTCTTCTGTTACTTCAGGCCATCTGGATGTATACGTGCAGGTCACAGGGGATGGCTTAGCTTGGGCTCAGAGGTCTGACAATCACCTTCTAATTTTCCTCCCTATCTCCTTCCCTGCCTCCATCCTGCCTTTGTTTTCTTCACCCCCTTATTTCTTTTCTCTCCAGGAACGCTGACTTAGCACCTTATTTTGCCTGTCACTTTACTAGACCCTGTGGACTTTGCAAAAGTAGATGAGACAAATAACGATCTAGCTGAGAGTGTTGCCATTTATTTGAGGAAACAGGCATGATCACATGGAAGAGTTAAAACAGTCTTGGAACAATGTGCATTCCAGTGTAGAAATGTCTCGCAGAGATGGTCCTTCTAGATGATTTCTGATCTCTTTAGAGAGTCAGTGTGTCTCATACTTGTTACGTTTGCATAGGCTCTTTTCCAGTAAAAAAAAAGGAAATTAGTTTATTGCTCTGTGTGTGTGTGGTGAGAGAGCTTTTATTTAAAAATGCATATATTAGGGGTGTTTCAGGTACTTGTTGCTACCCTTAACTTAGCTATTGCTTTAGCAAGTCAAATTTTCTTATATTACCCTCTGTAAAGACATTTCTGTTCTCAGCCTATGAGCCAAGTCATGTGACACTGAATGATTGCTGAATAAGCCTTGAGCCCTGGGTCAGGCATTCTGAGGTTCACAAAAGAAAACCTACCCAGTGGCCTATTTTATGAACCCTTGGTTCATTCCAGGCAAAGCTTCCCATGAGGTCTCTGCACTCTCCTCTGGCTTGATCTCTAGTGAAAACTTCCTAGGCAGCCTGCGTCCTACTGGGTCTACTCACCTAGAGGGCTTCTGTCTGCTTTCAGTAATTAGGGCAAGACAGCTGACACAGATCTACCTGGGAATTACCAGTCTCCCTTGCACACTCTCTGGCTTCCCCAGGCACTGTGCCTGGGAATTAACCTCCCATTATATCATTCAGAAGGCAGGTGGCTCATGATGCCATCTTCTAGCATGACTGACCTGAGGTGCTCTGAAGAAACCTGGAGGCTGACAGTGTCAGACAGGAATAATGAGTACAGGAAAAGAGCCCTCAGGAATTACCTCAGGATGCTGCCCAGCTCCTCCCACTCCAGCTTCTCAACACATCCTAGAGAAGCAATTAGCACTGGGAGGTGATGGAGAAGCAAGGCTGTGTGCAGGAACCGGCTGCCCGATTTAGCAAATGAGAGGTGGGGGCTATCTCCCATGCAGAGATAGCCGTATTTGGGAGAATCGTTACCTGGAGAGAAACAGACTTCTACCTTTTCCTAGGAAGTCTATGACCTATGATTTCTTAGAAATGGTATTTTTTTTTTCTTCAGAGGAAGGAGTTGAGTTTACAGTAGATTTTGAATGTGGCTGTAATAAAACGGCCTTTAAATTTTAGAATTTGTGTGAAGAAATCTATTATATGCCTCCCTAAACCCCAATTTCCTTTTCTGAGTTGTGGGTTTTGGGAGCTTTAATTTTTGGGGTCTAGTTCTCCATTTTAATAAGGCAGGAATAAAACCCACTGGCACCTCATAGCTTGTAACAGCTCCCAGCAGGATGAGGGGAGGCTGAGCTGCCAGGTTTCAAATGTGGGCTGCGCTTAGGTATCCTGAAGCCTGTCAGTCATACATACCACAGTCGCAGAGGGAAGTCAGCAGTGGTATGCAAGTCTCAGTGGGAGAAACAACTTTTAGAAAATGTATTTATATTTTCCCCTTATCTAGGTGCTTTTTCTGTTGTTGAAGCAGAGACTCTGAGACACATGATTTTCAGATTTAGTAAGTAATTAAAATTTTTCTCAATTTCACGGGCTAGGCATGTGCTGCCAAGCAGCATCAACAACCAACTGATCTATGCATTAATCATTTTTTAAACTAGCTTTAGTTGAGCTAATAACATTCTATATGCCAAACTCTAGACATTGACCTATAAAAAGTTTACTCGTTACATTCAAGGTACTCTGAATCATTTGGGTAAAACTCTGAATCGTTTGGGTAAAACGTGTAACAAAACTTATTGTAATTGATATAATGTGTATTGTGACAGAAGTGTTATCTAATTATTATTTAACAAAACAGATGCAAGGAGGCAAGGTCTTTCCGGGCAAAGAGAGGAGCACGTGGAAAGGAATGGAGATACATATGTGCAAATGGCATGTTCCGCTCACTATTACAGAGGGGAAGGGCAGTGAGTGGGACTGAAAACGCAGGTGAGGACAGATATTTAAGGAACATGCCATGCTACAGAGTATGGATTTATTCTGAAGTTAACATTTATATAAGAATAGTAAGCAGATGTAACTGGTTTGATATATTTCACTATCTTGGAGTACAGATAAGATTGCAACAAAAGAATAAAAATATCCTAGCAATGTTTTAGGATACATACTGGAAACTTCTCTGGAGGGACAGACATGAATGGGAATGGAGAGGAACACACAGGGAATCCAGCAGTGTCTTCTATATTTATTTGGTTGTTTAACACAAAGTTCTGAAGCAAGTTAGTACAGCATTAGATTTGATTAAACTGGTGATGAGTAAAGATTTGACAATAAAATAATTTTAAGGGGCTGTATCTTTTTAACATTCAAATTCACTCAAGTCTCCATTCGTGCAACATGGCAAGTGTTATAGGCTGAGTTTTATCATCTCACCAAAATTCATGTATTGAAGCCCTAATGCCTGGCACCTAAGAATGTGACTGTATTTGGAGATAGGCTCGTTGTTGTTGTTGTTGTTGTTGTTGTTGTTGTTGTTGTTGTTTGAGACAGGGTCTCCCTCTGTTGTCCAGGCTGGAGTACCGTGGTGCAGTCACGGCTCACTGAAGCCTCAGCATCCCAGAGTTCAGGTGATCCTCCTAAGTAGCTTGGACTATGCGGGACTACAGGCATGAGCCACCATACCCAGCTAATTTTTTATTTTCTGTAGAGATGGGTTTTCACCATGTTACCCAGGCTGATCTCAAATTCCTGGGCTGCCTTCCTGGCCCTCCCAAAGTGCTGGGTTTACAGGTGTTAGCCACCTCACCTGGCCTGAAAATAAGCTGTTTAAAGGGGGTAATTAAGGTAGAATGAGGTCAGTAGAGTGAACCATAATCCAATATGACTGGTGACTTTAGAAGAGGAGGATATGAGGACACAGATATCTGCAGAGGCCATGTGAGGACACAGGGAGAGGACGGCCATCTACAAGTGAAGGAGAGAGGATGCAGAATGAACTAGTCCTGTTGATACTCTGATCTCTAACTTCTAACCCCCAGAACTGTGAGAACATAAATTTCTATTGTTTAAGCCACCTAGTCTGTTGCACTTTGTTATGGCAGCCCAAGAAAATTAACACAGCAAAGGTTGTAGAGTGTCTCTCTTGGGGCTTTCTCAATACCTAGCAATTGTCTAAGAACCCCTGGGAATTATTCAGTTCAAAACAGCTGCAACTGCTTCTAGGCTAAACAAGAACTTAAGAATCAGATCTGGCCATGAGCAAATGCCAGTTTTTTGTTTACCTTGTTTCTTTTACAATCAATGGTGCAATTGAGGACTAGTGCTGCACTAGTGAACATTTCCTGATCAGATGCAGCAAAGACATCTTTACTGGTCTGAATCCCACTCCCACGAGCATTCCCTTCATTTAAAGATGCTCTAGATTGGACTTAAAAGGTCATAGTTCTTTACTCTACATTTAAGGCCCAGTCACTGTGCCTGAAGTTCTCCTCTAGGCTAAGGAGTAGTTGATAATGTCAGCCACATGCCCATTCTCATGCCTATTTAGGTCCTATTGTTGAGCCTACCTCGCCAGTCAGGCTCTCCTTCCCCTCTTGGTAGACTCCCCTTCAGTCCTTTCTGGGTCAGTGGATCTTTTGTGAAAATTAATCAATTCATGAGTAAAACTTGAACCTCAAGAAGAAAGGAGACAGCTCTTAATCCCTCCCTCTCCAGAGGCTCCTAAGTCCCTGTGCACACTTTTCTGCATTTTTCCTCATACCACAGTTCTGCTTATCCAGGGTATTAGGTGCCTAGCTGCTTTACATTGGCCTAAGGAACCTGTTAAGCAAATCTCTGCCTCATAAATAGGTCTGGTTTATGGTGCTTTGCTGTTCTATCATAAAAAAAAAGTAGCTGAAGTTTTTTTTTAAATGGCAAGTTTTCTTGATTAAATTCCAAATACTCAATATAGTCATACAAAAAAGACTCACATGATCAAAACTTCCTAATTCCAAGCAGTCTCTAAATTGCCACTAACATTATCTTTTAAAAATAAAAATAATGGCAATTTCCTTTTTCATTGCTTACAGGACACAATCTAAATTATTTCTCAACTCGGCTCCAACTAAAAACAAAGGAACACGACAAACAAATTTCTACTCCTCTTTAAAGGTTCAGCTCAAGTATTCACTGCCATTTATATGCTCCCAAATAAATTGACTCATACTTGCTTCTTTGATTCCTCATTATTTTTCTGAAGTTTGTCTACTCTACTTATAAAAGGAAAGCCAGGAGCTCTTCTTTTTTCATCTTAACAACCACAAAGCATAGCATAGTGTTGGCACATAGCAAATAAATAAATAAATGGAATAGATATTTGTAAAGTATTGCTGATTGCAATGTGGATTATATCTTAGATGTGTCTTTAAAGTTTCATCCCCCAAAAAGCAGAGAATCAAAGTAAAAATAATAAGCCATTTAAGCAAGAAATGATGTGTCTGGACTAAGGAAATAATAGTGAAGATGAAGAACTACAGATTTTGCAGATATATAATTCGTAAGACTTGGTATTTGATTGGGTGAAAGGTAGTATGAAGAAGAAAAAATGATTACCAAATGAGTTTACAGAAAATTGAGGTAAAGTTGTGTGTTCTATTTCTGATAGAACATAAGAAAACCAGTAAGTTTAGTGTGCTCAGATTATTTTTAGTACCTACTAAGTGTGAGGAAATATGTTTTGCCATTAAAGAACTCAGTCTAGTTGGAAGTGAAGACATGCATCTAAATTGATAAATAAAACTGTTAAATGGCTTAGAAAAAATATCGAATTGATAAATGATGATAAGCAAACATTATGGAGAAAAATATACCATCTACCTCCCAGAGGAAAATAAAAATCAACATTGCAATTGCGATGTGGTCTGGAACCAACTGCTCCATTGCTCTGAGCTTGGGTTCTGAAATGGTAATTAATATTTTTATTGATTTAACATCTGGACACTAGGAAAGCTGCTGATAAATTGCCTTGAGCTCACTAGGCATTGCTCAGGATTCTTTCTGCTGGGGAAAACCCCAGCTCATGCTGGTTTTTGCAGGGAAATATCTTGGGTCATGTAACTGAAAAAGCTAGAGACAATGGGATACAGAGGTAGAGTATCAGGCAAGACTCTTCAAAAAATGCCATTAATATAATAAAAAGGCAACTCACAGATGAGCAAAAAGTATTTTGTATTTTCTCTATATACATAGACAATACACACACAATACTATATTACATAACTATAAGACAATTTATACTCTCACCATATATTTTATATATCTTTATGATTGTTTATACCTTTTGGAATGAGTATTCTTACATTAATAAGAAGGCAAACAACTCAATAACAATAACAGAAGATTGAAACAGATACTTCCCAAAGAAGATATATAAGATACACAGTAAAAGTATATGCAAGTTATTATATCTTTACAATGGAATACTGAGCTATTAATAATAAGATATGAACTGATAGAGCAACCTGATGAATGTCAAAAGCATTATATTAAGTGAAAGAAGGCAGACACAAAAGACCCATACTGTATCATTTTATTTATATGATATTCTAGAATAGCAAAACAAACCTGTTGTGATAGAAAGCAGATTAGTAGTTTTCTTTAGATTAATGACAGAAATGGTAGTGGCGATTTATTACAAATGTGCCTAAAAGAGTTTTTGTGGAGGTGAGAATGTTCTATGTCTTGATTATGATGTGTTTATAAAAGTGCACTTCCAAGAGTGCTCAAACTGTACACTTAGAATGGGTACACTTTATTGTACTCAAATTATAAATTAATAAAATATATTAAAAAGTCAAAGTAATACAATTAGGGCTCTTTGGGTAAAACTACCAAATGAACAAACCACTATTATGTAATTATGCAAAGAATAAAAGGTGAAAGTATTTAATTATCTACAAAATGAAATGCTGCAGAGGGGAAATAACTTAAAAATGAAATGAACAAACTTATGAGATTATTACAGGTAAACCTATGGAAATGTATTTGAAATCCTATGCAAAAATACTATTTATCATAATTGACCCTGGTTGTAATAGAATGTTTCAACAAACTGATTGACGTATAAAATGATAAAGAATTCAAACAACTACCTGCTCAAAAATCACTCAAACTAGATGATTATGTAGGAAATTTGACCAATTCTTCAAAGACCATTCTTTTTTAAATTGTTCCAAAGCATAGAAATAAAATAAGAAAAAGTTTGAAATAAATGTAATATTGATAACTAAGCTTGACAAAGACACACACACAAAACTAGGAAATCATGTTTCCTTATGAATATTGATTCAAGAATCCTAAGTATTTGCAAATGAAACCTGCCAACAAGGTGTCAAGGAAATAATACATCATCACCAAACCATATTTGCTCTGGAGATTAAAGACTCATATTAAGAAATCTATTAATGTAAATCCTTATATTAGTATTAGGAAATATATTAATATAAATCCTTATATTAATAGTTCTCAAGTAAATAATCATTTGATTCCATTGATATGTTCCACAAAGTTCAACACAAAAGAGAAACAAGTGACCCTACCTCTATGTTGATTGATAACATATTTATATAGAAAAACTTAATCTGAGAAAATAATATTTTGAAGGTACACTCAATAAAATGTTCTAAGAAAAAAGGAAATGCACAGAAATTGTGAGCTTTATTAAGTTTTATTGGTGATGGCATTGGTATAGACATTTTAACACTGGTTTTTGTACTGTAGGATGAAAGAAAGGGTAAATATGGAATAGGAAAAGGCAAGGACAAATGCTATGGTATTGTATTTGAATTTTTGTTAGCATTAATGATTAAATACATGCAATTAAGCCATGGAAAGATTCAGAAGCAATGTTACTCTGGTAGCGATAAGTATACTTTTTCCCCAGATCTTGGCTTCTAAACATCATTTTTCACTACAAATAACTGGAATCCTTAGAGATATAACTGAATCTATGTCTTTGGCAGAGTAAGTACAAAGTGACCTTGAAACATTTTGTTGTGGCAGAGAGTAAAGGAGTATCATGAATTGAGGGTACATATCAAAATGATCCAGAATCCAGCTTAACTGGACTCCCATTATCAAAATTTGAGATGATTTGATTATTAACAATAATCATAATCTTGCTTCTAGCTATGAAGGAGTAGTTTGCATCTGACTAGTATTACAACTAAGAACAACTATAAAACCTGGATTTTAATTTTAATTTAATTTAATTTTATTATTTTTTGCTCATATGGGGACTGACAACTATAAAACCTGGATTTTTAAAAGCAGTGGTTTGAAATCATTAGAGAGAAATCAAGGCAAACAGGATTTAAGGAGCCATGATCCCAAAAGAAAAAAAAAAGGGCATTGAGGTTAGTTGTAGATCAGCACCACTATTTTTCCTCCTGAAATTTGTCAATTTGCTTCAGTGCATAAAGCAGGAGGAGAAATTTAAGTAGTCTTGCTAGAATGGGATGTCCCCAAAAATTGGAGTTCAAGACGCTTAGTCAACCAAATTTGAGGTATTCAGATCCTTACGTAAAGAAAATTGCAGAAAGAAAACTCAAGAAAATGTCTAATGTCACTTAGACTGGTTTAGATTTCTGGTCTATGTCTTTCTCCCATGCTGGACTCTTCTTGCCCTTGAATATTGGACTCCAAGTTTGTCAGCCTTGAGACTCGGACTGGCTTCCTTGCTCTTCAGCTGGCAGATGGCCTATTGTGGGACCTCGCCTTGTGATTGTGTGAGTCAGTACTCCTTAATAAACTCCCCTTTATGTATACATCTATCCTATTAGTTATGTCCCTCTAGAGAACTCTGACTAATACAGATTTTGGTATTAGTCAATGTTTCTGAGAAAAAAAATCTTAAAAGTTGTTAGAGAATAAAAACACATTACTTTCAAAGAAGCAGGTACAAGACTGGCTGTGAAGAAAAAGCATTAACTATATAAAAAGATTAATAAAATTTACTTCATTAAAATTTAAAAACTTTATTCATCAAAAGACATCATTAAAAGGATGAAGAAATTACTCATACAGTAGAGAAGATACCACTTTTTTAAAAATAAATAAGCAAAAGTCTTTGAGAGAGTTTACAAGATGACGATCCATCTGATCAAAAAAAGAGAAATGTCCTCAACATTGTTAATCAGCAGAGAAGTAAAAATTAAAACCTAGTGAGGTCCACTACACATCCAGAGAAAGTGTTATACTTAAAAAACGACATTAACAAATGTTGTCAAGGAGCTCTCATATGCAGCTGATGAAAGTATAAAGTTGGTGCAACCACTTTGAAACTATTTGTCAATATTTACCAATAATAAACACATGCAGATCTATGACTCACAATTCTACTCTCATGTGTATACTAACATAAATGTAAATTTAAACTCAACAAAGACATGAATAAGAATGTTCATAGAAGAATAAGGCAATATTGCCTCACACCAGAAATATCGTAGGTATCCAATCACAGTAAAGGTGTAAGGTCAAAGAACTCTTGAAACTCAACAGTAAAAGAAAAAAATCCAATTAGGAAACGAACAGAAGGCATGAATAGAGACATTCCACCAAAGAGGATATACAGATGGCAAATAAGCACATGATAATATGTTCAACATCAGTAGCCACTAGTGACATGCAAATTTAAACTACAATAAGATGTCATAACATATCTGTCATAATGGATAAAATTTGTTTATGATATCATCAAATACTGACAAGAATTCAGAAAAACTGGAATCAAACATTGCTGTTGGGAATGTAAACTGTTACAGCCACTCTTGAAAATAGTAGGCAATTTCTTATAAAATAAAACATACAACCACTGTAAACCCAGCATTTGTGTTCTTGGGCATTTATGCCATAGAATAAAAGCTTATGCTCACACAAAAACCAATACATAAATATTCATAACACTTACGTGTAATAACCCAAAACTGTAAACAAACTGCAAATTGTCAATGGGCAAATGGCTAACAGACAGTGATACATTCTTACCATGGAATATTACTCAGCAATTAAAAGGGAAATATACTGAGTGAAAAAAAGCGAATCCCAAATGGTTACATACAGTATAACTCCATTTATGTAACATTATTGAATTGACAAAATTAAAGATAAGGAAAACAGATTAGTGGTTGCCAGGTGTTGCGGATGTGGAAGGTAGATGTGGTTATAAAAGTGCAACACAACTGCAGGGCGCGGTGGCTCATGCTAGTAATCCCAGCACTTTGGGAGGCCGAGGTGGGCAGATCACGAGGTCAGGAGATCGAGACCATCCTGGCTAACACGTTGAAACTCTGTCTCTACTAAAAATACAAAAAATTAACCGGGCATAGTGGCGGCTGCCTGTAGTCCCAGCTACTTGGGAGGCTGAGGCAAGAGAATGGCATGAACCCGGGAGGCGGAGCTTGCAGTCAGCTGAGATTGCGCCACTGTACTCCAGCCTGGGCGACAGAGCGAGACTCCATCTCAAAAAAAAAAAAAAAAAAAAGGCAACACAACAGATCCTTGAGGTGAGAGAAATGTTCTTTACTATAATGATGGATACACAAACTTAACATAATAAAATTGCAAGAACTAAAGACACACACAGAAACACAACTGGAAACGTTGACTAAGATTGGTGGATTACTTCAATATCAATTTTTCATGGAGAAACCTGGTAAAAGGTACACAGGATCTCTCTATTACTTTTTACAAGTGCAAATCAAAGCCAATGATATATAAAATAGATAATGAATCATGAAAATTTGGGTTTTATACCAGGAATCAAAGGTTCATCAATGTGTTTCACCATGTTAATCAAATACTTTCTTTTTTTTTTCTTTTTTTTATTATTATTGTACTTTAAGTTTTAGGGTACATGTACACAACATGCAGGTTAGTTACATATGTATACATGTGCCATGCTGGTGTGCTGCACCCACTAACTCGTCATCTAGCATTAGGTATATCTCCCAATGCTATCCCTCCCCCCTCCTCCCACGCCACAACAGTCCCCAGAGTGTCACGTTCCCCTTCCTGTGTCCATGTGTTCTCATTGTTCAGTTCCCACCTATGAGTGAGAATATGCGGTGTTTGGTTTTTTGTTCTTGCAATAGTTTGCTGAGAATGATGATTTCCAATTTCATCGATGTCCCTACAAAGGACATGAACTCATCATTTTTTATGGCTGCATAGTATTCCATGGTGTATATGTGCCACATTTTCTTAATCCAGTCTATCATTGTTGGACATTTGGATTGGTTCCAAGTCTTTGCTATTGTGAATAATGCCACAATAAACATATGTGTGCATGTGTCTTTACAGCAGCATGATTTATAATCCTTTGGGTATATACCCAGTAATGGGATGGCTGGGTCAAATGGTATTTCTAGTTCTAGATCCCTGAGGAATCGCCACACTGTCTTCCACAATCATTGAACTAGTTTACAGTCCCACCAACAGTGTAAAAGTGTTCCTATTTCTTCACATCCTCTCCAGCACCTGTTGTTTCCTGACTTTTTAATGATTGCCATTCTAACTGGTGTGAGATGGTATCTCATTGTGGTTTTGATTTGCATTTCTCTGATGGCCAGTGATGGCGAGCGTTTTTTCATGTGTTTTTTGGCTGCATAAATGTCTTCTTCTGAGAAATGTCTGTCCATTTCCTTCGCCCACTTTTTGATGGGGTTGTTTGTTTTTTTCTTGTAAATTTGAGTTCATTGTAGATTCTGGATAGTAGCCCTTTGTCAGATGAGTAGGTTGCAAAAATTTTCTCCCATTTTGTAGGTTGCCTGTTCACTCTGATGGTACTTTATTTTGCTGTGCAGAAGCTCTTAAGTTTAATTAGATCCCATTTGTCAATTTTGGCTTTGGTTGCCATTGCTTTTGGTGTTTTAGACATGAAGTCCTTGCCCATGCCTATGTCCTGAATAGTAATGCCTAGGTTTTCTTCTAGGGTTGTTATGGTTTTAGGTCTAACATTTAAGTCTTTCATCCATCTTGAATTGATTTTTGTATAAGGTGTAAGGAAGGGATCCAGTTTCAGCTTTCTACATATGGCTAGCCAGTTTTCCCAGCACCATTTATTAAATAGGGAATCATTTCCCCATTGCTTGTTTTTCTCAGGTTTGTCAAAGATCAGATAGTTGTAGATATGCGGCATTATTTCTGAGGGCTCTGTTCTGTTCCATTGATCTATATCTCTGTTTTGGTACCAGTACCATGCTGTTTTGGTTACTGTAGCCTTGTAGTATAGTTTGAAGTCAGGTAGTGTGATGCCTCCAGCTTTGTTCTTTTGGCTTAGGATTGACTTGGCGATGCGGGCTCTTTTTTGCTTCCATATGAACTTCAAAGTAGTTTTTTCCAATTCTGTGAAGAAAGTCATTGGTAGCTTCATGGGAATGGTATTGAATCTGTAAATTACCTTGGGCAGTATGGCCATTTTCACGATATTGATTCTTCCTACCCTTGAGCATGGAATGTTCTTCCATTTGTTTGTATCCTCTTTTATTTCCTTGAGCAGTGGTTTGTAGTTCTCCTTGAAGAGGTCCTTCACATCCCTTGTAAGTTGGATTCCTAGGTATTTTATTCTCTTTGAAGCAATTGTGAATAGGAGTTCACTCATGATTTGGCTCTCTGTTTGTCTGTTATTGGTGTATAAGAATGCTTGTGATTTTTGTACATTGATTTTGTATCCTGAGACATTGCTGAAGTTGCTTATCAGCTTAAGGAGATTTTGGGCTGAGACAATGGGGTTTTCTCGATATACAGTCATGTCATCTGCAAACAGGGACAATTTGACTTCCTCTTTTCCTAATTGAATACCCTTTATTTCCTTCTCCTGCCTAATTGCCCTGGCCAGAACTTCCAACACTATGTTGAATAGGAGTGGTGAGAGAGGACATCCCTGTCTTGTGCCAGTTTTCAAAGGGAATGCTTCCAGTTTTTGCCCATTCAGTATGATGTTGGCTGTGGGTTTGTCATAGATAGCTCTTATTATTTTGAGATACGTCCCATCAATATCTAATTTGCTGAGAGTTTTTAGCATGAAGCGTTTTTGAATTTTGTCAAAGGCCTTTTCTGCATCTATTGAGATAATCATGTGGTTTTTGTCTTTGGTTCTGTTTATATGCTGGATTACATTTATTGATTTGTGTATATTGAACCAGCCTTGCATCCCAGGGATGAAGCCCACTTGATCATGGTGGATAAGCTTTTTGATGTGCTGCTGGATTCGGTTTGCCAGTATTTTATTGAGGATTTTTGCATCAATGTTCATCAAGGATATTGGTCTAAAATTCTCTTTTTTGGTTGTGTCTCTGCCCCGCTTTGGTATCAGGATGATGCTGGCCTCATAAAATGAGTTAGGGAGGATTCCCTCTTTTTCTATTGATTGGAATAGTTTCAGAAGGAATGGTACCAGTTCCTCCTTGTACCTCTGGTGGAATTGGGCTGTGAATCCATCTTGTCCTGGACTCTTTTTGGTTGGTAAGCTATAGATTATTGCCACAATTTCAGCTCCTGTTATTGGTCTATTCAGAGATTCAACTTCTTCCTGGTTTAGACTTGGGAGAGTGTATGTGTTGAGGAATTTATCCATTTCATCTAGATTTTCTAGTTTATTTGCGTAGAGGTGTTTTTGTATTCTCTGATGGTAGTTTGTATTTCTGTGGAATCGGTGGTTATATCCTCTTTATCATTTTTTATTGCGTCTATTTGATTCTTCTCTCTTTTTTTCTTTATTAGTCTTGCTAGCAGTCTATCAATTTTGTTGATCCTTTCAAAAAACCAGCTTCTGGATTCAATAATTTTTTGAAGAGTTTTTTGTGTCTCTATTTCCTTCAGTTCTGCTCTGATTTTAGTTATTTCTTGCCTTCTGCTAGTTTTTGAATGTGTTTGCTCTTGCTTTTCTAGTTCTTTTAATTGTGATGTTAGGTTGACAATTTTAGATCTCTCCTGCTTTCTCTTGTGGGCATTTAGTGCTGTAAATTTCTCTCTACACACTGCCTTAAATGTGTCCCAGAGATTTTGGTACATTGTGTCTTTTTCTCATTGGTTTCAAAGAACATCTTTATTTCTGCCTTCATTTCGTTATGTACCCAGTAGTCATTCAGGAGCAGGTTGTTCAGTTTCCATGTAGTTGAGTGGTTTTGAGTGAGATTCTTAATCCTGAGTTCTAGTTTGATTGCACTGTGGTCTGAGAGATAGTTTGTTATAACTTCTGTTCTTTTACATTTGCTGAGGAGAGCTTTACCTCCATGTATGTGGTCAATTTTGGAATAGGTGTGGTGTGGTGCTGAAAAAAATGTATATTCTGTTGATTTGGGGTGGAGAGTTCTGTAGATGTCTATTAGGTCTGCTTGGTGCAGAGCTGAGTTCAATTCCTGGTATCCTTGTTGACTTTCTGTCTCGTTGATCTGTCTAATGTTGACAGTGGGGTGTTAAAGTCTCCCATTATTAATGTGTGGGAGTCTAAGTCTCTTTGTAGGTCACTCAGGACTTGCTTTATGAATCTGGGTGCTCCTGTATTGGGTGCATATATATTTAGGATAGTTACCTCTTCTTGTTGAATTGATGCCTTTACCATTATGTAATGGCCTTCTTTGTCTCTTTTGATCTTTGTTGGTTTAAAGTCTGTTTTATCAGAGACTAGGACTGCAAACCCTGCCTTTTTTTGTTTTCCATTTGCTTGGTAGATCTTCCTCCATCCTTTTATTTTAAGCCTATGTGTGTCTCTGCATGTGAGATGGGTTTCCTGAATACCGCACACTGATGGGTCTTGACTCTTTATCCAATTTGCCAGTCTGTGTCTTTTAATTGGAGCATTTAGCCCATTTACATTTAAAGTTAATATTGTTATGTGTGAATTTGATCCTGTCATTTTGATGTTAGCTGGTTATTTTGCTCGTTAGTTGATGCAGTTTCTTCCTAGTCTCGATGGTCTTTACATTTTGGCATGATTTTGTAGCAGCTGGTACCGGTTGTTCCTTTCAATGTTTAGCACTTCCTTCAGGAGCTCTTTTAGGGCAGGCCTGGTGGTGACAAAATCTCTCAGCATTTGCTTGTCTGTAAAGTATTTTATTTCTCCTTCGCTTATGAAGCTTAGTTTGGCTGGATATGAAATTCTGGGTTGAAAATTCTTTTCTTTAAGAATGTTGAATATTGGCCCCCACTCTCTTCTGGCTTGTAGAGTTTCTGCCGAGAGATCCGCTGTTAGTCTGATGGGTTTCCCTTTGAGGGTAACCCGACCTTTCTCTCTGGCTGCCCTTAACATTTTTTCCTTCATTTCAACTTTGGCGAATCTGACAATTATGTATCTTGGAGTTGCTCTTCTCGAGGAGTATCTTTGTGGCATTCTCTATATTTCCTGAATCTGAATGTTGGCCTGCCTTGCTAGATTGGGGAAGTTCTCCTGGATAATATCCTGCAGAGTGTTTTCCAACTTGGTTCCATTCTCCCTGTCACTTTCATGTACACCAATCAGACGTAGATTTGGTCTTTTCACATAGTCCCATATTTCTTGGAGGCTTTGTTCATTTCTTTTTATTCTTTTTTCTCTAAACTTCTCCTCTCGCTTCATTTCATTCATTTCATCTTCCATCGGTGATACCCTTTCTTCCAGTTGATCGCATCGGCTCCTGAGGCTTCTGCATTCTTCATGTAGTTTTCGAGCCTTGGCTTTCAGCTCCATTATCCCCTTTAAGCACTTCTCTGTATTGGTTATGCTAGTTATACATTCTTCTAAATTTTTTTCAAAGTTTTCAACTTATTTGCCTTTGGTTTGAATTTCCTCCTGTAGCTCGGAGTAGTTTGATCGTCTGAAGCCTTCTTCTCTCAGCTTGTCAAAGTCATTCTCTTTCCAGCTTTGTTCCGTTTCTGGTGAGGAACTGCATTCCTTTGGAGGAGGAGAGGCGCTCTGCTTTTTAGAGTTTCCAGTTTTTCTGTTCTGTTTTTTCCCCATCTTTGTGGTTTTATCTACTTTTGGTCTTTGATTATGGTGATGAACAGATGGGTTTTTGGTGTGGATGTCCTTTCTTTTTGTTAGTTTTCCTTCTAACAGACAGGACCCTCAGCTGCAGGTCTGTTGGAGTTTGCTAGAGGTCCACTCCAGACCCTGTTTGCGTGGGTATCAGCAGCGGTGTCTGCAGAACAGTGGTTTTTCTTGAACCGTGCATGCTGCTGTCTGATCGTTCTTCTGGAAGTTTTGTCTCAGAGGAGTACCAGGCCGAGTGAGGTGTCAGTCTGCCCCTGCTGGGGGGTGCCTCCCAGTTAGGCTGCTCAGGGGTCATGGGTCAGGGACCCACTTGAGGAGGCAGTCTGCCCATTCTCAGATCTCCAGCTGCATGCTGGGAGAACCACTGCTCTCTTCAAAGCTGTCAGACAGGGACATTTAAGTCTGCAGAGGTTACTGCTGTCTTTTTGTTTGTCTGTTCCCTGCCCCCAGAGGTGGAGCCTACAGAGGCAGGCAGGCAGGCCTCCTTGAGCTGTGGTGGGCTCCACCCAGTTGGAGCTTCCCAGCTGCTTTGTTTACCTAAGCAAGCCTGGGCAATGGCGGGCGCCCCTCCCCCAGCCTCGCTGCCGCCTTGCAGTTTGATCTCAGACTGCTGTGCTAGCAATCAGCGAGACTCCATGGGCGTAGGACCCTCCCAGCCAGTTGCGGGATATAATCTCCTGGTGCGCCGTTTTTTAAGGCCGTCAGAAAAGCGCAGTATTCAGGTGGGAGTGACCCAATTTTGCAGGTGCCGTCTGTCACCCCTTTCTTTGACTAGGAAAGGGAACTCCCTGACCCCTTGTGCTTCCCAGGTGAGGCAATGCCTCACCCTGCTTAGGCTCGCACACGGTGCACGCACCCACTGACCTGCGCCCACTGTCTGGCACTCCTTAGTGAGATGAACCCAGTACCTCAGATGGAAATGCAGAAATCACCCGTCTTCTGCGTCGCTCACACTGGGAGCTGTAGACTGGAGCTGTTCCTATTCAGCCATTTTGAGATCGTTATCTCAAATACTTTCTTAATGGATGCAAAAAAAAACTTTGACAAAAGTTAATATGCACCACAATTTAAAAAAAACTCAGAAAACTAGAAATAGAAAGGAAACTTTCTCAAGCTAGTAAAGAATATCTATAAAATCTTCGTTTATTTTATTTTAATGGTCTGATTGTTATCAAAAATATTTTTGAATTAATGCATGAATTTAGCAAACTCAGTGTCAATTTAAAAAATGTGAGGTCATTGCGCAAAAATCAATTGTATTTTTATATATAAACATTGAACTGAAAAATGAGTATCCAGGCCAATTATGTAAAATGTCTCACAATTTAGATTTGCCAGCTTTGTTATCTCGAGATTTGATTCAGATTATATATTTTTGACAACCACCTGAATATCCTATTCTCCAATTAACTTTCACCTGTTGATTTTAGTACCAATTAATGATTTCTCTGAATCAATTATTACTGTGGTGGTTGTAAAATGGCTTTTGAAAACTTCTGCATTTACTAGTTGTCATTCTTCTATAAACAACACTTTTCCTATAAGAATTTTAGAAGAAAACGGCCGGGTGCAGTGGCTCATGTCTGTAATCCCAGCACTTTGGGAGGCTGAGGCGGGCGGATCATGAGGTCAGGAGTTTCATTTCTTTTCCTTTTTTTTTTTTTTTTTTTTTTTTTGTGACAGAGTCTCGCTCTGTAGCCCAGGCTGGAGTGCAGTGGAGCGATCTTGGCTCACTGCAACCTCCGCCTCCCGGGTTCACACCATTCTCCTGCCTCAGCCTCCTGAGTAGGTGGGATTACAGGTGCCCTCCACCACGCCCAGCTAATTTTTTGTTTTTTTAGTGGAGACGGGATTTCACTGTGTTAGCCAGGATGGTCTCGATCTCCTGACCTCGTGATCCGCCAGCTTCGGCCTCTCAAAGTGCTGGGATTACAGGTGTGAGCCAGCGCACCTGGCTGTTGTGTTGCATTTTTATAACCACATCTACCTTCCACATCCCCAACACCTGGCAACCACTAATCTATTTTCCATATCTTTAATTTTGTCAGGAGTTTAAGACCAGTCTGACCAACATGGTGAAACCCTGTCTCTACTAAAAATACAAAAATTAGCCAGACGTGGTGGTGCGTGCCTGTAATCCCAGCTACTCAGGAGGCTGAGGCAGGAGAATAGCTTGAACCCAGGAGGCAGAGGTTGCAGTGAGCCAAAATCGCGCCATTGCACTCCAGCCTGGCGACACAGCGAGACTCCATCTTTAGAAGAAAACATAGGAAACACCATTCTGTAGATTGGCCTTTGGAAATGATTTATGAGTAAGTCCTCAAAATCACCTGCAACAAAAAAATTGACAAATGGGACCTAATTAAATGAAAGAGCTTCCACACAGCAAAATAAACTGTCAATAGAGTAAACAGACAGCCTACAGAATGGGAAAAAATATTAGTAAACTATGCATCTGACAAATGTCTAATATCCAGACTCTATAAGGAATTTAAATAATTGAACAAGCAAAAAACACACAGCCCCATTAAAAAGTGGGCAGAAGACTGAACACTTTTCAAAAGAAGACATATAAGTAGCCAACATACATATGAAAAAAATGCTCCATATCACTTATTATCAGAAAAATCCAAATCAATACCACAATGAGGCATCTCACACCAGTCAGAATGGCTATTATTAAAAAGTCAAAAAACAACAGATTTGGCAAGGCTGCAGAGAAAAGGGAACACATACACTGTTGGTGAAAATATAAATGAGTTCAGCCACTGTGGAAAGTAGGTTAGAGATTTCTCAAAGAGCGTAAAGCAGAGCTACCATTTGACCTAGCAATCCCGTTACTCGGTATATACCCAAAGGAAACTACATCATTCTACCAAAAAGACACATGCACTCATGTGTTCATCGCTGTACTATTCACAGTAGCAAAGACATGTAATCAAGCTAGGTGCCCATCAATGATGGATTGGATTAAAAAATGTGACTATATATAATATATATAGTTATATACATAAGTTATATACACAATATAATTATAATATATATCTCATATGTATATCACATATATGATGGAATACTACACAGCCACCTACATAGTAGGTGTAAATATGAGATATATGCGATATTTTGGTTGAGGCATACAATATGTAATAATCGCATCATGGAAAATTGGATATTCATCCCCTGAAGCATTTATACTTTGTGTTATAAACAATCCATTTATACTCTTCTGGTTATTTCTAAATGTATGATTAAGTCATTATTGACTCTAGTCTCTCCGTTGTGCTGTCAAATACTAGGATCTATTCATTCTTTCTAACTATTTTTTTTGTGCCCATTAATCATCTCCATCTCCACCCCACCCCACACTACCTTTCCCATTCTCTGCCAACCATCCTTCTATTCTGTATCTCCATGAGTTCAATCGTTTTGATTTTTAGATCCCATAAGTAAGTGAGAACATGAGATGTTTGTCTTTCTGTGCCTGGTTTATTTCATCCAGTTCTTTCCATGTTGTTGCAAATGACAGAATTTCATTCTTTTTTATAGCTGAATAGTACTACATTACACATTTTCTTTATTCATTCATCTGCTAATGGACTCTTAGGGTGCTTCCAAATCTTGGCCATTATGAACAGAGCTACCACAAACATGGAAATGTAGATATCTCTTTGATAAAATGATTTCCTTCCTTTTGGGTATATACCCAGCAACGGAATTGCTGGATCACGTGGTAGCCCTGTTTTCAGTTTTATGAGGAACCTCTAAAGTGTTCTTCATAGTGGTTGTACTAATATACATTCTTATCAGAAGTATATGAGTTTCTTTTTCTCCATATCTTCCCCAGCATTTGCTATAGCCTGACTTTTGAATAAAAGCCATTTTAACTGGGGTGAGGTGATAGTTCATTATAGTTTTGATTTCCATTTCTCTGATGATTAATGATGTTGAGCACCTTTTCATATCCCTGTTTACCATTTGTATATCTTCTTTTGAGAAATGTCTATTCAAATCTTTTGCCCATTTATTTTATCAAATTATTAGAGTGGTTTGAGCTCCTTTATATTCTGGTTATTACTAATCCCTTGTCAGATGGGTAATAGGTAAATATTTTCTCCCATTCTACTGGTTATCTCTTCACTTTTTTGAGTGTTTCCTTCACTATGTAAAAGCTTTTTAGGTTGATGTGATCCCATTTGTTCATGTTTGCTTTAGTAGCCTGTGCTTGTGGGGTATTGCTCAAGAAATTTTTGCCCAGATCAATGTCCTGGAGAGTTTCCTCAATGTTTTCTCACAGAAGTTTCATAGTTTGAGGTCTTAGATTTCAGTATTTAATTCATTTTGATTTGATTTTTGTATAAGGTGAGAGATATGGATCAAGTTTCATTCTTTTATATAGGGATATCCAGTTTTCCCAGCATCATTTATTGAAGAGATTGTATTTTTTCTGATGTATGTTCTTGGCACCTTTGTCAAAAATGAGTTTACTGTAGGTGTTTAGATTTGTTTCTGGGTTCTCTATTCTGTTCCTTTGGTCTATGGGTCTGTTTTTAAGCCAGGACCATGCTGTTTTGGTATAGCTCTGTAGCACAATTTGAAGTCAGGTAATGTAATTCCTCCAGTTTTGTTCTTTGTGCTTAGGATAGTTTTGGCTATTCTGGTCCTTTTGTGATTCTATAGAAATTTTAGTATTTTTTTTTCTATTTCTGTGATGAATGTCATTAGTATCTTGATAGGGAATTAATTGAATCTGTATATTGCTATGGGTAATATGGACAGTTTAACAACATTGATTCTTCCAGTCCATTAACATGGAATATATTTACTTTTTTAGTATTCTTTTAGATTTTTATCAGTGTTTTGTAGGTTTTTTTTTTGTAGAGAGCTTTCACTTCTTTCATTAATTCCTAGATATTTAATTTTATTTGTTACTATTATAAATGGAAAAACATTTTTTATTACTTTTCAGATTTTTGCCTTTGGGATATAGAAATATTACTGATTTTGTATGATGTTTTTGTATCCTTACAACTTTACTTAATTTTTTAAAATATTAACTAACATTTTTCTCTCATTTTTTTTAACTTTTATGTTTAGGGGTACAAGCTCAAGTTTATTACATAGGTAGGCTTATGTCATCAGGGTTTGTTGTACAGAGTATTTTGTCACACTCAGTTATTAAGCCTAACACCCATTAGTTCTTTTTCCTGATCCTCTCCTTCCTCTCACTCTATACCCTCCAAAAGGCCCAGTGTGTGTTGTGCCCCTCTGTGCGTCCCTGTGTTCTCATCACTTAACTCCCACTTATAAGTGAGGACATGAAGTATTTGTTTTTCTGTTCCCCCCAAAATATAAATCATTGTATTATAAAGACACATGCATGCATATGTTCATTGCAGCACTGTTCACAATAGTAAAGACATGGAATCAACCTAAATGCCCATCAACTATAGACTGGGTAAAGAAAATGTGGTACACATACACCATGGAATACTGTATGGCTATAAAAAAGAATGATATCATGTTCTTTGCAGGGAGATGAGTGGAGCTGGAGGCCATTATCCTTAGCAAACTTTACTGAATTTGGTTATCAGTTCTAATAGTTGTTTTTTTTTTTTTTTTTTTTTGTGGGGTCTTTAGGTTTTTCCAAATACAGAATCATGTCATCTGCAAATAAGAATAGTTTGGCTTCTTCCTTTCCAATTTGGATGCCGTTTATTTCTTCTTCTTGTGTGATTGCTCTAGCTAGAATTTCCAGTACTATATTGAATAACAGTGGTGAAAGTGGGCATCTTATTGTGTCCAGATCTAAGAGGAAAGATTTTCAGTTTTTCCCCATTCAGTACAATACTAGCTGTGGGTCTGTCATATACAGCTTTTATTACATTCAGATATGTTCCTTCTGTACTCTTTTTTTTTTGAGGGTTTTTTTTTAATCATAAAGTGATGTTAAATTAGTTCAAATGCTTTTTCAGCATCAGTTGAAATAATCTTGTGATTTTTATCCTTCATTCTGTTGATATGATCTATCACATTGATTGATTTGCATGTCGAGCCATCCTTACATCCCTGGGATACCACTTTGTCATGGAGAATGATCTTTCCAATGTGTTGTTGAATTCTGTTTGCTAGTATTTGTTAAGGATTTTTGCACCATCATTCATCAGAGATATTGGCCTGTAGTTTTCTTTTTTTGATGTGTCTTTATCTGGTTTTGATATCCATTTAATACTGGCTTTATAGAATGAGTTTGAAAGTATTCTCTTTCTTGGCCAGGTGCAGTGGCTCATGCCTGTAATCCCAGTACTTTGGGAGCCCAAGGTGGGTGGATCACTTTAGGTCAGGAATTTGAAAATAAAAAAAGAATACTTTTTTTTTTTTTTTTGAGATGGAGTTTTGCTCTGTCACCCAGGCTGGAGTGCAGTGGCATGATCTCAGCTCGCTGCAACCTCAGCAGTGTGAAACCCTGCCTCTACTAAAAATACAAAAATTAGTTGAGCGTAGGTCTGTAGTCTCAGCTCTTGAAAGGCTGAGGCATGAGGATCGCTTGAACCCGAGAGGCAGAGGTTGCAGTGAGCCAAGATCGTGCCACTGCACCTCAGCCTGAGTGACGGAGCAAAACTCTGTCTCAAAATAAATAAATAAATAAATAAATAAATAAATAAATAAATAAATTATCTTTCTCTATTTTTAGGAACAGTTTGAGTAGGATTAGTATTAGTTCTTCTTTAAATGTTTTGTAAAATTCAGCAGTGAAGCCAATGGGTCCTGGGCTTTCCTTTACTGGAAGACTTTTTATCATGGCCTAGATTTTATTACTTATTATTGGTCTGTTTGGTTTTTAATTTCTTCATGGTTCAATCTTGGTAGGCTGTATGTGTCTAGGAATTTATCTATTTCATCTAGACTTTTCAATTTATTGGCATATAGTTGCTGACAGCAGCCACTAATGATCCTTTGAGTTTCTGTGGTACCAGTTGTAATGTCTCCATTTTCATCTGATTTTACTTATTTGGGTCTTCTCTCTTTCTTAGTGTGGCTAAAGTTTTGTCAATTTTATCTTTTCAATAAACCAACTTTTTGTTTTGTTGATCTTTTGTATTACTTTCTTCTTTTCAAATTCATTTATTTCTGCTCTGATCTTTATTATTTATTTCCTTCTACTAATTTTGGGTTTGGTTTGCTCTTGGTTTTCTAGTTCTTTAAGACGCATCATTAGGTTATTTCTTTGAAATTTTTCCTCTTTTTTGATGTAGGCACTTTTCACTATAAATTTCCCTCTTAATACTGCTTTTGTTGTATCTCTTAGGTTTTCATATGTTCTGTTTTCATTATCATTTGTTTCAAGAAATTTTTATCAATTTCCTTCTTAATTTCTTCATTGGCCCACTGGTTGTTTGGGAGCATATTGTTTAATTTCCTTATGTTTTTATCATTTCCAAAAGTCCTCTTGTTATTGATTTCTAGTTTCATTCGATTGTGTTCAGAGAAGATGCTTTATATTATTTCAATTTTTTAATGTTTTAACACATTTGTGACCTAATATATGGTCTGTTCAAGGGAATAATCCATGTGCTGAGGAGAAAAATGTGTGTTCTGCAGCCATTGGATGAAATGTTCTGTAAATATCTATTAAGTCCATCTGTTCTGTAGTGCAGATTAAGTCCGATGTTTCTTTGTTGAGTTTCTGTCTGGGATACCTGTCTGGTGATGAAAGTGGGGTGCTGAAGTCTTCAGGTATTATTGTATTGGAGTCTATTTCTCTTTAGCTCTAATAATAAATGGTTTATATATCTGGGTGCTCCAGTGTTGGGAGCGTATAAATGTATAATTATCATATCATCTTGCTGAATTGACTCCTTTATCATTATATAATGACCTTCTTTGTCTCTTCTTACAGTTTTTGTCTGGAAATCTATTTTGTCTGATATATGTAGAGCTACTTCTGCTCTTTTTTGGTTTTCATTGGCTCTTTTTCCATGTCTTTATTTTCAGTCTATGTGTGTCTCTATTGGTGAAGTGTGTTTCTTGTAGACAAGAGATCATTGGGTCTTGATTTTATCTATTCAGCTCCTCTATGTCTTTTCATTTTATATACCCTGATACAAATGGCCAAAGTTACTTGTCAATATCTTCAGTTAGAGAACCTTTGAGGGTAAGGCCTACATTCAAGTTGTCTCAAAGACTCATTTACCTCTGCTCTCTCTAACCCATTTCATATATACTCATTAAATGAGAACCATACACCAGGCACTGGTCTATGTGTATGTCTACAGTGCTGAATTAGAGAGAAGTTCATGATTCAAAGACCTGTGTGTTTGGAGGAGATAGACCACAAACATTTATATTAAGTACTATCATATGGATAATTCTAGGACCGAAAAAAGAGAAAATTGAGGTGATATTTTAGATAGGTCATACAAGACTCATAGGGAAGGTTATATTTGGGCAGAGACTGAATGAAGTGAAAATGAGTGTCATAAATTTTCTGTTAAATATCATCTTAGTAGAGAAGGCTGTAACATAAAGAGACTGAAGTAGGAGTGCATCTGGGAGGTATTCAAAGAGTAGGAGAAACAGGGAGGCTGATAGAATATGAGTTCAGAGAAGTACATAGGGGCTGTATTTTTCCTTGTGAGCCATTTTAAGAACTTTAGATGGGAGGCATTTTGAGTGTTGATAGCAGGGAATGATATTATATGATTTACATTTTAAAGGATTCCATTTATTGCTTGGGATTAAGGAGAAAAGGTGGAAACAGAATAGCTAGAAGGCTATTGCAAGTTGCAGGGGTCCTGGCAACCATTATGCCTTAGAGCAGTGTGGTGGTAGCAGAAATGGTGAGAATGAATTGGACTCTGGGTGTATTTCACAGAGAAAGCTGAGAGGATGTGCTGGCAGATTGGATGTGCATTTCTATGAAAGAAAAAAAGTCATAGATGACTCTAAGATATTTGATCTGTGGAACTTGGTCAATTATGGTACCATTTACAAAGATAGAGAAACTAGGGATGGAGCAGGTTTGTGGTATAGGTGGAAAAATTTTAAAAACTGAGTTACCTGTTAATCATCCAAGTGAAGGTGTATTTCCAGTTTATGGAAATCAGTTAGGAAAAGAGTATAGTGTGGTTAGAGAAGAGAAGAGGAAAAAAAATATGAATTGCAGAGTACTTCATTTTTTAGAAGATAAAAATAATTCATCAAAGAAAATAGAAAAGAAGTGGTCAGTGAGGTAGGAGGGAAATGGAAAAAAATGAAATGTCCTTCCAAAAATAAAAAAAATTGTTTTAAAAATGGGAATAATTGAGTATATCAATGTTGCTGTTGAGTGAAATGCAGTCAGTTCTTCATCTGTGGGGGTTCCTCATCTTCAGATTCAACCAATCAATCTCTGATTGAAATATTTAAATAAACAATAACAATTTAAAAATACAAATTCTAAAGATGTAACAACTATTTAGCATTTACATTGTATTAGATATTATAAGTAAGCTAGAGATGATTTAAAGTATGTATATGGAGGTTATATGCAAATATTACACAATTTTATATAAGAAACTTGAACATGATAGATTTTGGTAGCTGCAGGGGTCCTGGAACCAATCCCCCATGGATACCAAGGGATGGCTCTAATATGAGAACTGAGAATTTGCTATTGTCGCTGCTTTCTGCTAGGGACAGAGACATGTCAGGAGTAGGTTCAAAATGAGAAATGGAGACAATGGATACAGAAAACTCTTTTGAGGTGTTTTGCCATAAAGGAAAATAGATAAATGGGGTTATTGTAGAAGAGAGATGGAAGGATAAAGGGAGGATTTTCTTTTAAAATCAGAGCTATTTCACTATGTTTGAATGGTAGTGGGGGGAATTCAGTAGAGAGAAAAGATGATGTGGGAAAAGGGTGGACAATGCTAGAGAAATATCCTTAAATGAGAAGCACGTGCTGCAGTACTAAATTTAAGAGTTGACTTTTGATAATAACAGGTCTAGCAGTAAGTGTATACGGGTACAGACTGGCTCAGTGAAATAAGAAGCAGGGTTATTAGCTGGCAGAAAAAAGTTGATAGGGGAAGGTGAAGGTCTGTGCATTACTCCGTTTTTACGCTGCTGGTAAAGATATACCGAAGACTAGGCAATTTACAAAAGAAAGAGGTGTAATGGACTCACAGTTCTTTGTGGCTGGGGAGGCCACACAATCGTGGAGGAAGGTGAAAGGCATGTCTCATACGGCGGCAGACAAGAGAAGAGAGCTTGTGCAGGGAAACTCCCCTTTACAAAACCATCAGATCTCATGAGACTTATTCACTGTGACAAGAATAGCATGGGAAAGACATGTCCCCATGTTTCAATTACCTCCTACCAGGTCCCTCCCACAAGTGGGAATTACCAGGGCTATGATTCAAGATGAGATTTGGATGGGGACATAGCCAAACCATATCAGTCTGAAAAAGAGGAAATCACAGGGAATTGCGGTGACCTTCCTCTTTATAAAATATATATTATATATATATATAATATATATTATATATATATATAAAATACAATTTAACAAAAGATCTGGGTAACATATAGAGACAGAGCTGAAATTGTCCAAGGCTGTTGAAAGCAGGGGTCTTAAAACAAATGCAGATTTCAAGGGAGTTATAAAGAAGCCAGTGTAAGACTAGGGTACGTAATAGTTAATCAGCAAAATATGAATCATAGCATAATAAGAAAAGAACTAGAGACAGATGTCCTTGAGACCCATGAATAGTAGCTTTATATGCACATTTTTAAAATTGTGAATAAATATAATGAAGAAGTGGATTATACGACCTTAGAAATTATATAACTCCTCTCTCTCTCTCTCTTTGCGTTTGTGTGTGTGTGTGTGTATGTGTCTATATATTATATATCCTTTATTACCAACTAATTTGAGAATATGATGAGATCACTAAATGGATTTTCTCCACTGAAAAGTACATTTATGCACATAGGTACAATATCATACATGAAGTATTCACAGACCAATGGATAAGAATTCTGATCCTACCCCTAAATGTATTCTGAGTAAACTGACCTTTCCTCTCTCATGTCCATGGTTGTGTATTTCATCCTCTCTGCTTGCAGTGCTTATCTTCATTTTCTCACCTACCAAGCTGCTGCTCCTCCTTCAAATTCGAAGTTAAGCTTTGCCTTGTCTGTGAAGCTTTTTATGACTCTTAAGAAACCCTAGGGGCACCTTCTTCCAAGTGTCTGATCTTTCCCTATTAACATTTATCATTTTGCTTTGTAACTGTTGGTTTGCAAGTCTGCTTAATCCATCCTGCTGTGGGTTCTTTGAAGGCAGGATTAAATCTCTTCATTTCTGAATCATTATTACCCAGATTCGTGCCCAGCAAGTTTTGAATAAATTTTGCAAATAAAGAAAAGTGAGTCCTCAAAGGGGTTAGGGGACTTAAGCAAGTCAGTGTCAGAACTAGGCCAAAACTATGGTGTTTTCTTTGCTGAGTTTAAGTTTCTCTTTATTCTGCTTGAATCTACCTGCTTTTAAGGAAGAAAACATTTTTACACCAGGAAATAGCTGATGGGGCAAAAATGGACTAAAGTGCACATTGATAGGTCATCTATAAGTATTAGTGCTCCCCCTTGTGGCATCTCAGGAAGGTGGAGGTGAAAGTGACCATGGACTTATCAAGGTCTGTTAGGAAGCAAGATGGATCTTTAGCTGGGAGAGAACATCTGTGCCCCGGCCTGTGTTCCCCCAGGAAGAAGTTAATCAGAAGATGTTTCCTTTCACCACAAGCAAAAATTATCTTTATTTCAAGTCTTCAATCATTTTCATTAGATTCCACAGGCATCTGAGTAGATTCTTTAGGCAGATATTCTGACTTACATTATTGAGAATATAAGTCCTCATTATAACCTGTTGAAATAGGTTGTCTCATTCTACTGTTACCAGGTGAGACAACTGAGGTTCAGGATGTTAAAGTAATCATTGCAAGGGTGGACAGCCTGGAGCGCTTGTCTTTGAAGTCCTCTATGTAGCATACTTTCTACCATACTCTGCCTGTTTAGACAATAAAAGTTTGGATTGCTGCAAAACAAGCTAGCTATTGTTGTTGCCAGAATTCTGTTAGCTACCAAGTAGGCAAAGGAAGCTGGCATTCAGTGGACAGCTCAGGTGCAGAAATCAAAGCTGCTTTTTTTCCCTGCTGCTTTTTTCTATATGGAGATTGCACATTGCCGAAATATTAGCTGAAGACAAGGGCTACCCCATTGGGAGGTGGTGGATATGGTGGAAGGATGGCTGAAAGTACAAGGATCTCTATCTCTGATGCACAAGCCCAGACCTCCCAAGTGGCCAGTGTTAAAGTCTTAACATTTTACTTGGAACAGAGGCTGGAGGAGAAAGGAAAAGCCTTCAGACTGTCCTCATGCAAAGGCTCCAAAGCCCAACTGGAAACATTTTTCTTCTCTAAGACTCAAGACATTTTTTTAACCGAGCCAGGAGCTTAGGAACACGCAACAGCTGATAGGGAGCTTTTAGGATGACTGGGTGCTGTCTTTACTGGCAGAGTCAAATATTAGCTTTGATTTGTAATGTTTTCGTAACTCACTTTCCTCTCCTGGAGTCTTATCCCCCTTAGTAGATCTAACAAGCATCTAAATCACCACAAGAGTATGATTAACACATTTCCATATCCTGAACCCCTGCAAGGCAATGATCAAAATAGTAGCTGATACCTATCGATCACTTATTATGTGATAGGTGCTTTACCTTCATGATGATCTCATTCAATCCTTATAGCAAACCATATTGTAGTGACCAAGACAGATTCAGAAAACTTGCCCAAGGTTACAATGAGTAGTCAGTGGATCTGAGACTAAAAGTAAACAATCTGACTCCACACTACATTACCTAATGAACTAAAAATAAAAAGAGTATCTGAGGAACTAAGTCTCCACCTGTAAGACTGCTCACTTAGTTTACTCAGCACGTTTGAGAACCATAGAAGAGAAAAGCTAAAGCTTCTCATTTCTCTCACTGTATAGCTGGTTAGATAGATGAGTAGATAGATGAGTACTAGCCCATGATCTAGCCAGCCACATACTTCTTAAGAAAAATAATGGCAATTAAATTATCACCAAGACTCAACATTGTAGAGAGATTTTATAACTGAAAAAATTTGTAAAAAAAAAAAAATACAGGCAACTGGGTGTGTTTGGTACTTTGATTTTAAGGTCGATCTATTATTGGTTACTAATTTGCTTTGATTGTCAATTTCACTTTCAGAAATTCCTGGATGTTGTGTCTCCACAACTTTCCAGAGGTTGCCACATCCATATCTGTCTTGTTTCCCACAGAAGCCCTGCCGTCCTTCACTGCTCAGTACTATTTCTAATAACATTTCCAGTAGTGCCCTGAGGGTTGTACCTCTTGTTGCCCTGGTCTCTGCCACCTGGCCTTATTGCACATCAAGAGAGGCTCAAATTTGTCCCCACCCATTCTTAAGCCAATCAGTATGCAGGTAATAAGGCCCATCAGTAAAAAGGATTGAGGAAGGATCCTCCCCAAAACACATGGTTGTCAGGGTACAAACCAGGCCTTGCCAGCAGGGTAGGTATGGGTGATGGGAGAAATTAGCAATGACCACCACCATTAATATGACTTGTTACATCCAGATTGTGGCTGTTGTAACAATCATGGAGGATAGATCTGTCTTCTAATCTCAACTCTGCCACTTCTGAACTGTGTGACTTTGAGAAAGTCATTTTGCCAGTCAGAACTTCATTTTTCTGGTCTCTTAAATTAGGATAATAATACCTACCAAATAGCCTTGTTGTATTGTAAAACAAGTAACAGACCGGGGTCATTCTGTCCTTGAAATTTTAGGATATACAGATAAGGGACACTATGATGGGTTGAGACCAGGCATATCAGGCTTTGCATCCTAATTTGCTCCACTTAGCAACTGTGTGAATTTGCAGAAATTTTTTCAACTCCCTGACCCTGTTTCCTCATCCGTAACATGCAGTTGAAACTACCTACCATATGGAGTATAGAAATAAGACAGTATATATAAGTAACTGCATTAAGACCTGGCATACAGATTATAAATCCGTTTATTTCTCCTACTAAAGTTCCCATTATTCTTGACTATTTGATACTGGAGAGCAAGAGGGGAAGAGGAGATTGTCCCTAGTAGTGCACTTGTCTTCTATCTCCCACTTAATACCATAACAATAATAGCTACTGCTACGGTCACCACTTCTAATATGACTGCTTTTACCACTAGTGCTGCTGCTGCTGCTGCTATTCTGGTATTATTTATTGAGCAGGAACTATGTAGCAATATGTAAAGGGTACTGCGATGTGCTCTTTACTGTGCTATTGATTTTAATGTCAGTATGTCTGCTTTCAATCAATTATATTGCATGGCCTTGAAAAATAGCCATTTCATTCCAGTCCTGGGTTTTTGCAGGCCAGGGTTAATGCAAGAAGCTTTCATTAGTAAACCATAAACTCTAGAAGGTGTGAATAATAGGACTTGGCCTATGCATCTTTCTTTTTATCCATCTCGGTCCTAGCACCTGCTGATGAGTCCTTCTTTGAGTGATTTCACAGTTTGTCATCCTAAGTGTTCTGGGCTCTTAGTGTTTCACTGCAGCATTTTTCAGGCAAGCATAAATCTCCAAATCTTCAGATTTTGAATCAGCTAGAACAAAATCTCAGCATTGCTTTTTATGCTATTAGTCATTCTCAATTGGTTATTTTCCTTTTGTTCCAGTCATTCTAAATGGCAAAAAAAAACAAAAACAAAAAAGCAATCATGAAGTCACATCCTTGGATGTTATTAGTAGAAAATAAAACGGCATTCACTTCTATTCTGTTGAACATATACTTACTCTGAACAAAAGAAATTGATGAACTAAAACAAACAAAATATGTTCCTCAGCCCTGCTTTAGACAGATAAGCAAGACAATTAATATCAAGGCTGTTATTTCTTTGTTCCAATTTTCTATGCCTGTTCCTAATTTATATTCTCCAAGGTATCTGAGATTAGATAACTATTAAAGTTTCATTCTGTATTATTTTTGGTATTTAGTGAAAGTTTATTACCTACAGGCCTTTTGAGATAAATAAACTTTAATGTATTACTATCCCTACAGAATGTCAGACCTGGAAAGAACCATAAGGATGAGATTTTTCTGGGACAACCATCTCATTTTGCACATGAGAAAACAGGCCCAGAGCACCCTGAGATGTGTGTGCTTTGGGAGTTCAGAGTGGACCCTCTTTGTAACACAATACTTTCTGTACACGTAGTCCTTTGTTTGAAATTCTTTTTAAATTGTGTATGCTGAGTAAGAAGTTACATTTGAGCTTTTTTAAAAATCAATTTTTTCCACTAGTGTAGTAAAGGAACACTACTATTATCAGATTCGGCTTATTTGTTCAAGCACCCACTGGGACATTGAGGAAGGACAGGAAGTATAGTGGAGGAGTTTGACTAAATATAATTGAGGAATAATCCTCTTTCCCCAGTACAAAGGAGCTTTTCAGAGGCTTATTGCTGTCCTACCTGGTTGGTTGTAATTTGCTGAGCATGTAATTTCTGTGTTAAGAGCTGTTCACAAGACAAAGGGCACAGATGGCTTTTGGGAGCCTTGTTAATTGTTGATAATTCTTCTTCACTCTAGTCCCCACCCAGAAGCCAGAAAAATATGCTACCAGGTATGCTAGCTGTTCAAGCTTAAAACTATTTTTTAATAGAAACTTTATTAGGAAAAATAATCCAGTAAGTTCCATATACTCCTTCCGTGCTTGGTTCCCACCGTCTTCCTCCCCGTTACTTACCAACAATCCTGGTCCCAGTGTCTTCCCTTCCAGTGTGGTGTCTTTTCCTGCTGCTGGCCTTATGTCCTGACACAAATGCTGAAAGTTACTTCCTCCAGTGTCCTTCCAAGTATCTGAACAGTACAGTGACTCTGTCTTTACCTGCTTCAATTGAAGAGTGAGAAGCTTCTGGTGGCTGTGTGATCGTCAGCTTCATTAATCAGTAGGTCACAGTCTAAACATTTCTCCTCACCGGTGCCATGACTCTTGGTGACCAGATTGAAAATCTGATGAGGCCCAGAGAGCAAAAGTGACTCTACCAGTGACTGGACCCCACTCATGGCAGGCCAGGATTAAGGTGGGAATCTCCTGTCCCATCTCTCAGGTGAATGTCACACTGTTTGAGACAACTTAAGGAAGGGATATAGAGAGAGTGAGTGTGCCCCATGGTAGCTTTAATCTGGCAAAGCAGAACAACACGAATGGAGCAAAAGTCTCAAAGCAAAATCTCTCACTCAAAAGACAGTGTGCCTTACTAATTAAGAACAAAGGATTTGGAGTTATGGAGGCCTATACCTGAGTCCCAGATGTGCTGCTTACCTACTGTCTGACTTGGAAACATTGTTTAACCCCACTGAACCTTAATTTTCTACCCTGTGGATGAAATCTATGATACCTACACCATGAGGTTGTCTTGAAGAACTAGAGGACATAATTTATAAAAAAGACTTAGATGAATATCTAATATGTGCAGGCCAAGATGGTAACTATTACTATCAAGATGAGCCCTGCTGCATTCTCACCCTTATTTACTCTTTTTAATTTTCTGGAAATCTTGCTATTTCAGTCATCTTTCTGAGATGCTTATCAAGGATTGGCTCTTAAGAGCACATGGCTTTGTATCAGATACAGCTATGTTTGAGTTTGGACTACAACATTTATTTACTATTTATGTTACTCTATGCAGGTCAGTCTACCTTTACAAAGCTCAGTTTTTGGACTTGTAAAATAGGAATAATACGCATACATCTTGATAGAGATGGGCCTAGTTAAAAGATTAAGTTAGATTAAATGAGACTATAAATTTTAATAAAAACAAGAACCCTATCTTATACAACGTGGTGTTCCTTGCATCTGGCAATGTGCCTTGCATATAATTAGTGCTCAATAAATAGTTGTTAAAGGAAACAATTAATAATGCATGAATACAGCTTTTAATACAGTGTCTTACACATATTAAGTGGGAACTATATCTGTCATACACCAGTTAAAATATATGCGGAGAAACAGAATTGCAGGGCCATTTAATATTTCTCTCAGTAGATACCCATCTGGAATAGCCTCTCAGACTACCAAGATGTCTCTGTAAATGACTCTGACTACTTTTTTCTTAATAAATAAATGCCAGGGAGACAAATTTCAGAGAAGGTGGAGGCAGAAGGGGTTAACAGCTGATTCTGGGCTCTCTTGTAGAGACCTCCAGACTGGCAGAATAAGTTCTGACATTTGGGAATGCTAGGTGGGTAGGTGGGAAGGGATGATACTGAAGGTTGGGAGCTTGCATGAAACAGGTGACTACGAGGAAGGTAAAAGGGTTGAGATTATGAATACCTGGCCTTAAATCCTGCCTTGAAACCTGGAAAAATCACATAGTTTTGCTCTCAACTGCCCCATTTATAAAACAGGAATAACAGTATTTGCAGGATTATCGTGAGAATTAAATGAGAGAGTGGATATAAAAGTGATTTGTAAAATACTGAACCAAAATAAGGAGTCATCCCTCCAGGATGGAACTTTGCTTACTCCATGATTCTATTCAACTCGAAATCCTGACTGAGTCCAAGTTGACCAAACCTAATTAGGTTTCCATCTTATATCATGAATGTTCTCTGGATTTTATGGGAAAAAATAGAATTCATATCAATACAGTAAATATTGATTTTATATGTTTTGAACAAAGTACTTTTTAAATTATCTGAAACCCTCCCTGACCACCCTGGCAGTCAGTTATTCATACATCTGGCAACCACATCACCTTGAACTTCTCTTTCCTCTTGATTACATTTGTTATTTGTCCTCTCTTATAGAACTTGAGCTGGAATTCTAGTGCTTTAAGAAACTCATTAAATGACTGTTGAAAGAACAAATAAATATTTTGAACTGAGAATGAAATATGTTGCCAATTATTTGGTAGACAACATACAGCATAAGTCAAGTGTGTATTACATATAAAGCATCCCTAGTCTAAAAATTTGAAATCCATACTGCACCAAAATTCAAAACTCTTTGATGGCAACATGATGTCACAAGTGGATAATTTCACACCTAACCTTATGTGATGAGTTACAGTCAAAACACAGTCAGAACCTTGTTTCATACACAAAATTATTAAAAATATTATATAAAATTACCTTCAGGCTGTCTGTATAAGGTGTATTTGAAACATTAATGAATCCTATGTTTAGATTTGGGTCTCATTTCAAAGATATCTCACTTATGTATAGGTAAATATTTCAAAGTCCAAAAAGATCTGAAATCCAAGATACTTATGGTTCTATGCATTTCTAATAAGGGATACTCAACCTGAATATATATAAAGAGCACAGACAAAATGCTCTATTATAGTCCAAAATGTGTCAGCCACAATGAAACCCCAAAGAGCTAATCTCACTGGCACTGTGGCACCCACAAAGCTATAAATTTTGATTATTTTCCTAGAGTTGACAATTGCCTAATTGTTTTACTCCTTTGGTATTTTGATCTCCTTTATTAATTTTTCCCAAGCACTTCAACAGAATCATCGAAATCTCTCAGTACTATTTATCATATTGGTAAACTCACCGCATAACTCCTTCTGGAATCCTCTATCATCATGTTACAATCTTAAGTGGTTTCTGTCTATGCCTTTCACACAGCTTCTATGCAGGATAAGTGGAAGATTTACCCTGAAACTTCTCCCCAGAATCCTCCTGAGGATTATCTGTCCCTTTCTTTTTATATCTCTTGTTTATAGATGGGATATTTTCCTTTGTGCCAGCTTATGTTTTCCTTCATGAGAAGCATATCTTCTAATAACATATTGAGAAAGAGAGATGAAGGAATGACACTTCTGAGACTGCTTGAATAGCAGTGCCTCTATTATATGCTTATGCTTGATTTTTTAGGAGGTGAGGTATAGAACCATAGATAAGAAATTATTTTCCCTTAGAATCTTATAGTATTGTTCCATTTCTGTCAAGCTTTGGCATTAATATTGAGCATTTAAAATTACCTAATTTCAGTTTCAGTGCTGATTTTTCTCTCTGGAAGGTTGTACATATTTCCTTAATATTTGATGTTCAAAATTTTCATGATGATATGTCTTGGCCTGGGTTTTTGTTTTTGTATTTTTATTGTTTTGCATTTTTGTTAGAGACCACGTTTGTTTACTCAGCAACTGTTATTTCCGCCGGGCACAGTGGTTCACGCCTGTAATCCCAGCACTTTGGGAGGCCGAGGCGGGCGGATCACGAGGTCAAGAGTTTCAGACCATCCTGGCCAACATGGTGAAACCCCGTCTCTACTAAAAATACAAAAATTAGCCGGGCGTGGTGGCAGGTGCCTGTAGTCCCAGCTACTTGGGAGGCTGAGGCTGGAGAATGGCGTGAATCCGCGAGGCGGAGCTTGCAGTGAGCCGAGATGGCGCCACTGCACTCCAGCCTGGGCGACAGAGCGAGACTCCATCTCAAAAGAAAAAAGAAAAGAAACTGTTATATCATTCCTTGACAATTTCCTTCCCAATAATCTCTCTGTTTTCTTTCTGGAGAGTATATTAGTCAGATTTCATAGATTGAACCTCAAATTCAGTATTTTTCAAACTTTATCATGCATTAGAATCACCTGGAGGCTTCTTCATACAGATTGCTGGCTTCACTTCCAGTAACTGATTAAGTTGGGATGATGGTTGAGAATTTCCTTTTCTAACAAGTGTATGGCTTACTGCTGCTAGATATCCTTTGAGAACCACTGTTCTAATGCTCTTCTTCTGGTAACTTTTGTTTTTCACATCATTTTCTTTTTTGTTCCCCTCTCGGAATTAATACCGACTCATTATTGTCTCGATTTTTGGTCAGATTTTAATTTTAGCTATAATATATTTAATTTTCTAAAGCTCTTTTGTGTTTTATGGTTAAGGGTATAATATTTTAAAAAATAGAAGTATAATTTACATACAGTAAATATAGATATCAAATGTATAATTTCAGGAGATCTGACGATTATGTACATATCTAACCAACATCCTGATCACAACATAGAATTTTTTCTTTCTTCTGAAAGTTTCCATGCCCACTGCCAGTCATTCTTCCTGCCCACATGTCACAACTCTCCTGATTTACATAACCATAGATTTGTTTGTATGTGAATTTTATATACATGGAAACATACGTTATGATCTCTTGTGTCTGACTTCTTTACTCAACGTATTTTTGAGGTTCATCCATATTGTTTCATTTACAGTGGTTCATTCCTTTGTATTGCTGAGTAGTATTCCATTATTTAAATAATATACAACTTATCTATTTTTCCAGTTGATACATTTGAGATCTTACCCCTACCCCTAGTTTTTGGCTATTGTAAATAGGGCTTTTATAAGCAATATTGTACATATATGTTGTGGACATATGTTTTTATTTCTCCTTAGAGTAGAATTTCAGGCTTGTTGGGTTAGGAGTATATTCAAACTTAAAAGAAACTGCCAAAGAGTTTCCTAAAATAGTTGTATCACCTTATGCTTTCACCAGCAATCTATAGGAATTCTTGTTGTTATGTATCTGACACTTGATGTTTTCGTTATTTTTATTTTTAGCATTTCTAGTTATTGTGAAGTGGTATTGCATTGTTATTCTAATTTGCATTTGGCTAATAATTTATAATTTAAGATTTTCTCATGTAATTTTTGATCATTTAAATATCTTGTTTGATGAAGTATCTGTCAAAACTTGTGGCAACTTATTATTGATTTGCAGAAATTATTTAGCTATTTAGGATACAAATTATCTTTCAAATATAAGTATATGTACTTTTTCTCAGACTATGAATTATTTTGTTAACAGTGTTTTTCATGAAAGTTTTAAATTATGACAGAATGAGAAAAATTAATTCTTAAGTGTATTGCTTTTTGTGTACTAAGAAATCTTTGCACCCAAATTGTAGACATTCTCCCAAATTTTTATCTGGATGGTTTATAATTTTAGTCCTCATATTTAGTTCTATAGTGTAATTTTATCTTTTTATTTATAATTTTTATATAATTGTACATATTTATGAGGAACAACAGGATGTTTTGATACATGTATAAATTGTGTAATCATCACATCAGGGTAATTAGCATATCCATCACATTAAACATTATTTCTTTGTGAGAAATTTATTATTTCTTTGTGAGATTCAAAAACCTCTCCTTTAGGTATTTTGAAATATACAATACATCAGACTATGCAATAGACTGACAGAACTTATTTTTCGTATCTAATTGTAGCTTTGTACCCATTGACCAATCTCTAACCATCACCCACCCTCACCCTAACCCTCCCCATCCTCTGATAACCACTATTCTACTCTCTACTTCTGTGAGGACAACTTCTTAGATTCCACATATTATTGAGATCATGTGATATTTGTCTTTCTGTGACTGGGTTGTTTAACTTAACATAATGTTATTCAGGTTTATCCATGTTGCTACAAATGACAGGATTTCATTTTTTATGGCTGAATAGTATTCCACTGTGTGTCTATATGTGTATATATATATTATATATACATATATATAATGTGTATATATATTATATACATATATATAATGTGTATATATATAATGTATTCTTTATCCATTAATCTGTTGATGGATATTTAGGTTGATTACATATCTTGGCTATTGTGAATACTGCAGCAATAAACATGGATGTGCAAATATCTCTTCAACATACTGATTTCATTTTCTTTGAATATATACCCAAATGTAATGAGATTTCTGGATCATATGGTGGTTCCATTTTTAATTTTTTGAAGAAACTCCATACTGTTTTTCATAATGGCTATGCTAATTTACATTTTCACCATCAGCGTGTAAGGATTCCCTTTTCACCACATTGTTGCTAACACTTGTCATCTTTCGATTTTTTAAAAATTGTCATTCTGACTGGAGTCAGGTGATATTGTAGTTTTGATTTGCATTTCCCTGGAGATTAATAAAGTCAAGCATTTTTTTTTTTATTTCTGTTGGTCATCTGTATGTCTTCTCTGGAAAAATGTCTATTCAGGTCCTTTGCACATTTTTTGTTGAATGTTTTGTTGTTGAGCTGTTTGAGTTTTTTATATATTTTAGATGTTAGCCTCTTATCAGATGTATAGTTTGCAAATATATTCTTCTATTCTGTCAGTTGTCTCTAAAACAGCATGGCTCTGTCATAGAAACAGAAACATAGACCAATGGAACAGAATATAAAACTGGAATTAAACCCAAGCATCTATAGACAACTGATATACAACAAAGATGTCAAGTACATGCAATGGGGAAAGGACAGTTTCCTCAATAAACAATGCTGGGAAAACTGGATATTCACATACAGAAGAACAAAACTAGACCCTTATCTCTCACCATATACAGAAATTAACTACTAAAAATGTATTAAAGAATTAAACGTAAGACCCCAAACTACAAAACTACTTGTAAAAAACAGGGAAAAGCTCCAAGACATTGCTCTAGGCAAGGATTTTAAAAATAAAACCACAAAAGCATGGGCAAGAAAAGCAAATACAGACAAATGGTATCATATGAAATTAAAAAAAAAAACTTCTGCACAGCAAAGACAGCAATGAACAGAGCAAAGAGACAACCAACAAAATAGGTGAATATATTCACAAATTATGATGTAATTTTAATTAATAAAAAACAATTTCTATATGTAGTTTGACGTAGGAGTGAAGCTCATTGCTCATTTATTTTTAAAATGGGTTTCCAGTTGTAGGATATTTTTTTTAATGGTTTTTATTTCCTTCATTGAATTGCCTTGTCACTTCTGTTGAAAAGCTATTGACCACATATATGTGACTTTATTTCTGGAGTCTATTCTGTTTCTTACAACTAATCTGTATGTCTACCTTGTACCAAATTCCCGCTGTCTTCATTGGCTTTATAGTAATCTACGTAATCTGGTAGTGTGAATTCTCTGAGTTTATTCCTATTTTCCAAGAACGTTTTGTTATTCTGAGTTTTTATTTTCTTGATTTTCCATAGAAGTGTTATGAGTAAGTTGTTGATTTCTACCAAAAAGAAGCTTATTGGATCTTGTTTAGGATTACATTAGATTCATCAATTGCTTTGGGGAAAATTTACATTTTATGAAATTATCCCTTCCAATTCATGAAAATTGTACAAATCCCTCTTTATTTAGGTATACTTTAATTTCTCTGGAATATTTTGTTTTGTCTGCAAAGCTCTTGAACATTTTTGTTCAATCTAACCCTGTAGGTTTAGTATTTTTGATCATATTCAAAATAAAACTTTATAAAATTTATTTTTCCAATTGTTTGGTGCAGGAATATAGAAATGAAATAGATTTTTATATATTAACCCTTATCCTGAGACCTGACTAAATGCACTTCCTGGTTTTAGTAGTTTTATTTCCTTTGAGTTTACTTGAAAATTTTTATGTGAATAATCATGTCATATGTAAATAAAGATAATTTTGTTTCTTTGTGTTCAAGCTCTGTACTTTTTACATATTTTTCTTCTTCTTTTATGCAATGACTAACTAGGAACTTCAACCATGTTTTCTGGAAGGAGTGAGTACCGACAATGCTTGCCCTGCTCATAGATGGATAGCGTTTGATCCTTCACCATTAAGTGTGATATAAGTGTAATGTTTCTTGTAGGTTTTTCATAGTTGTCCTTTATGATATTGAGGAACTTTCCTTATATTTCAGGTTTTCTGATAGTTTTTGATAGAATTGGTACTGAATTTCTAAAATGCTTTTTTTGTGTGTGGTGATCCTGTTGCTCTTGATTTTGTTATTGTGGTAAATTACACTGATTGATTTCCAAAAGTTATATCAAACTTGCATTCGTAGGACAAATCTAACTTGCTCAAATGTATCATACCTTTTACAAATTGCTGTAATCAATTTGCTGTTTTAATAAAGACTTTTTAAATCTGTATTCACGAAGAATGTATGTCTTTTCATCTGTATTCATGAAGGATGTGTGTCTATGAGGCAATTGTTCTATAAGTAATATTTTCTCAGTATTTTAATAACTGCTAAAACGAGGTTTCATAAAATTAGTAAAGGACCTGATTTTCTTTCTTTTCTGAGAAGGTATATATATACCTTCTCCCATATATATATAAAATAGAAGAGAAGGTACATATACCTTTTATATATATATATATACCTATATGCATATACCTTTATATATAGGTATATATATATCTCTCTATATAAGTATATATATTTTATATCTTTATATAAATATATAATTATATTTATATAATTATATACTTTATATATACTATATTATATATAATATATTATATATTATATATATTATACAATCTATTATATATATTATATATAATATATACAATATATTATATATATTATACAATCTATTATATATATTATATATAATATATACAATCTATTATATTATATATAATATATACAATCTATTATATAACATATAATATATACAATCTATTATATAACATATAATATATACAATCTATTATATAATATATAATATATACAATCTATTATATAATATATAATATATACAATCTATTATATAATGTATAATATATACAATCTATTATATAATGTATAATATATACAATCTATTATATAATGTATAATATATACAATCTATTATATAATGTATAATATATACAATCTATTATATAATGTGTAATATATACAATCTATTATATAATGTGTAATATATACAATCTATTATATAATGTGTAATATATACAATCTATTATATAATGTGTAATATATACAATCTATTATATAATGTGTAATATATACAATCTATTATATAATGTGTAATATATACAATCTATTATATAATGTGTAATATATACAATCTATTATATAATGTGTAATATATACAATCTATTATATGATGTGTAATATATACAATCTATTATATAATGTGTAATATATACAATCTATTATATAATGTGTAATATATACAATCTATTATATAATGTGTAATATATACAATCTATTATATAATGTGTAATATATAATATATATGTATTATATACTATATACAATATATAAGATCTTATATATTATATATAATTAATAAGATCTTATATATTATATATAATATAATAGATCTTATATACTATATATAATATATAAGATCTTATATATTTAATTAATAAGATCTTATATATTATATATAATAAGATCTTATATATTATATATAAAAGATCTTATATATTATATATAATAAGATCTTATATATTATATATAATAAGATCTTATATATTATATATAATATATATTATATCATATATATCGTATATATTTATTATATATTAAATATATATAATATATAATATATATATAATGTATAATATATATAATATATAATACATATATTATATATAATATATATTATATATAATATATGTTATATATATTATATACAATATATATTATATATAATATATATTATATATATATATAAATATATTATATATAATATATATAATATATATTATATATAATATATATTATATATAATATATATAACATATATATAATATATATAATATATATTATATATAATATATATTATATAATATATATAATATATATTATATATAATATATATTATATAATATATATAATACATATATATTATATATAATATATATTATATGTAATACATATAATATATATGTAAAAAATATAAATTATATATAATTTATATATAGTTATATATAATTTATATATTATTTATATATAATGTATATATATTTATATATAATTAACATATACTTATATATTTATATATAATTTATATATATTTATATATTTATATATATAATTTATATAGATTTTTATATAAATTTTATACTTAGATATATAATTTATATAAATATATATAAATTATATGTATTTATATATAAATTTTATATATTTATATATAATTTGTTTATATATTTATATATATTTATATATAATTTATGTTTATATATTTATATATAATGTATATATAAAAATATCTACCTATATATTTATATATACATTATATATAAATATATCTACCTATATATTTATATATACATTATATATAGTATATATATTTCTATGTACTATATATATAAATATATATGCCTATATCTTCATATATAATATATACCTATATATTTATATGTAATGTATATATAAATATATACACCTATATATTTATATATAATGTATATATAAATATATACACCTATATTTTTATATATGATGTATATATAAATATATACACCTATATATTTATATATGATGTATATATAATAAAAATATATGTATTAATGTATAAATATATATTTATATAATATTAAAATAATATTTTATAAAATATGTATTTATATAATATATATTATTTATATATTATATTAATATATTATATAAATATATAACTACATATTAATGTATATAATTATATATAAATATATAACTACATATTTATATATATTTATAAGTATATTACTATATATTAATATATATAATTATATATAAACATATATTTAATATATAACTCTATAATATATATAACTATAATATAATATATAACTATAATATAATATATATATTATAGAATATATAACATATGTCATATAATATATAAATATATAATATATCCCTATATATTATATGACATATATTACATAATATATAGTTATATACTGTATAATTTATATAATTATATAATATACAATTACATAATTATATAATTGTATAATACATAATTATTATAAAATTATGTTACATAAGTATATTATATAATTATATTATATAATAATGATATAATTATATTATCTATATAATTACATAATCATATAAAATTATATTATATATAATTATATATGTAATATATAATTATATTATGTAATATAATTATATATAATTGTTTTATAATATAATTATATTTTATAATATAATTATATATATAATTATATTTTATAATATAATTTTATAATATACTTATATAATATATAATTTTATAATATACTTGTATAATATAATTATATTTTATAATATACTTGTATAATATAATTATATTTTATAATATACTTGTATAATATAATTATATTTTATAATATACTTGTATAATATAATTATATTTTATAATATACTTGTATAATATAATTATATTTTATAATATACTTGTATAATATAATTATATTTTTTTTTTATTTTATAATATACTTGTATAATATAATTATATTTTATAATATACTTGTATAATATAATTATATTTTATAATATACTTGTATAATATAATTATATTTTATAATATACTTGTATAATATAATTATATTTTATAATATACTTGTATAATATAATTATATTTATAATATACTTGTATAATATAATTATATTTTATAATATACTTGTATAATATAATTATATTTTATAATATACTTGTATAATATAATTATATTTTATTTTATAATATACTTGTATAATATAATTATATTTTATAATATACTTGTATAATATAATTATATTTTATAATATACTTGTATAATATAATTATATTTTATAATATACTTGTATAATATAATTATATTTTATAATATACTTGTATAATATAATTATATTTTATAATATACTTGTATAATATAATTATATTTTATAATATACTTGTATAATATAATTATATTTTATAATATACTTGTATAATATAATTATATTTTATAATATACTTGTATAATATAATTATATTTTATAATATACTTGTATAATATAATTATATTTTATAATATACTTGTATAATATATTATTATATAATTATATAACATATAATATATAATACATTATATAACATAATATATATTTATATTATACATTGTATAATATATAATATATTATGAGTATATATTATATAATATATAAATATATATTATGTGAAATATATATAAATATATAAATATATATTATATAAAATATATAGAAATATAAATATGTAAAAATATATTGTAAATATATAAATATATTATATAAAATTATATATTTATATATCATATAAAATTATATATATTTATATATCATGTAAAATTATATATATTATGTAAAATATGTATTTATAGACAGTATATAAAATATATATTGATTGTATAGTTATATAAGTATATATAAAATATAAATGTAAAAATATATATAAATATAAATATATTACAAATATATAAATATATAAAAATATATAACTATATGTAAAATATATATATTTATAAATATAAAAAATATAAATACATAATATATAAATATATATAAATGTATAAATATGTGTATATATAAATATTTGTATTTGTATATATTTTTTATATTTATATTTTATATATATACCTACATATAAAAAACTCTGGTATATGTGTATATATATGTGTGTATGTATATATATATATACACACACCTTCTCTTACATGTATAACATATATGAAGGTGTATATATATATAGGTATATACATAAAAATATACATAGAGTATATATAAATATACCTATATATACCTATATACATAAAGGTATATATATGTATATATACACACACACACATATATATATACACACGCACACATATATGTACATATACCAGACTTTTTTGAGGGGGAAATTTTTTGTTAATTCTATTTCTTTCACAGCAATAGCGTTATTTGGAGTCTTATGTTTTGTGTTGACTTTAGTATGTGTATTTTTCAAACAATTGATTAATTTTATTTAAGAGATTGATTGTTCTTGTAACATTTGTTTTAATCTTTTAAATGCCATTTTAATCTCTAGTGAGATACCCTATTTTATTCATGACATTGCTAATTTGTGTTGTTTCTCTTTTTTTCTTTGGTCAGTCTTGATATGGGTGTATCAATTTATTATTCTTTTGAGGAGCTATTGGCTTTTTTGTTATACCTCTTACTACATTTTTAGTGGCTGCTCTAAGAATTATAACATACTTCCTTAATTTATTACAGCATATTTAGAATTAAAGATTTATAGAAAATGAAGGAATCTCTCAATAATTTCATTTAATCCATGTTTTTGTCATGTATTTTACTTCTGCATATGTTATTAACTTCACAATAAAATGTTACCAAGCAGTCAGTTGTCTATTAAAGATTGTTAGGAGAAGAAAAAACATACATAGTCCTGCATAGTTACCCGTATATTTACCATGTTAGTCATCTCCATTTCGTGTTGTAGTTCTGATTTTTTATCTGGTATTATTTTCATTCTATCTGAAGAGTTTTCCTTATTTCTCGTAGTACAAGTTTGCTGGCAAAGAATTATTTCAGCTTCGTTACCTGAAAATGTCTTTAATTTTGTCTCATCTTTGAAAACCATTTTGGCTGAATGTAGAATTCTGGATTGTAGTGGGCTGAGTCGTATCCGCCTAAAATTCATGTGACCTGGAACCTCAGAATGTGACTTTCTTCGGGAGTAGTTTCTTCGCAGATGCACCTAATTGGGGATCTGCAGATAAAATCATCTTGGATTTAAGATGAGCCCCAAATCCTATGACTGACTTCCTTATCAGAAGAGGAGGGGATGCAGAGAAATACACAGAGAACACCATGGGAAGATGGAGGCAGACATGGGAGTGAGGTGTCTATAAGCTAAGGAATGCCAAGGATTGCTGGCAATCACCTGGAGCTAGGAGAGAGGCATAGAACGGCTTTTCCATTATTCCCTCCAAAAGGAAGCAACCCTGCCAACACCTTGGTTTGAGATTTCTGCTTCCAGAACTGTGGCCATCTGTTGTGTTAAGCCACCCAGTTTGTGGTAGTTTGTTACGGTAGGCCTAGGAAATGAATTCGTTGCTCTAAAGAGTTTTGTTTGTTTGTTTGTTTTATCTCTGAGTGCTTTTAAATGGTTACACCTTTTTTTTTCTGATCATCATTTTTTCTGATTTGAGACAGCTGTAATTTATATAATAATCCCTCTGTATATAAAGTATCATTTCCCTTTGGCTGCTTTTCAGCAGGCTTGGTTTTCAGCAGATTAAAAAAAAATCCTACTATGATTTTTTGCATTTATATTTTTAGGTATTTTCTGAGCTTCTTGGGTGTGTAGGCTTACAATTTTTGCTATATTTGAGGGAAAATTCAGAAATTATTTCTCCAAATTTTTTTCTCCTGAATTATTCTCTATCTTATTTTTCCTGAGGTTTTATTGTAATATATTACACTATTTTAACACCTCACAAGTCACTGAGGTTTTTGTTTTCTAAAAAGTCTTATTTTGCCTCTTCTTGAGATTGGATACTTCCCATTCATGATCCTTTATTTTTCAATATCAAATCTGCTGTTAAGCCCAACCTATGATTTTTTTTTTCTTTCAGGGTTATGGTTTTCAATTCTTTCAAAGTTGTAGTTTTCATTTCCATTTGGTTCTTTTGTTATTATAGCTTCTATTTTTTCTGTGGAGCTTTGCCATATGTTCTCTCATTGTAGCTTCCATAAGTACTTGAGAACATACTTACATCAGCTTGTTTCATTTTCTGCAAATTCTAATAACTGGATCATTTTGATATCTGTGTCTTCTGACTTCTTTTGCTTGATTATGGGTCTCATTTGCCTCCTTCTTTGACTATCTCACAAATTTTTATTTTATTTTGGACAATTGTTGATGATACATGGTAGGGGTATTGAGTTATGTTTTTAAAAAGTGCTTGTTTTTTCTTTCAGAATACAGGTAAAGAATGATGGATTTTATTGATCATGTCAGGCTTGGGTTTATTCTTTGTTTGGATGATCTATTTTAATTTTAGACATAGGGAAAATCCCTCAAAATAGGGCATGGGGTGACTCTTAATGTGGAGCCTTCCTGAGATCTCAAATGAATGAGCAAGTTGTTCACCAAGACTTCTTCACTCTAACCTGGATTGGTCCTCCAGTATATTCTGGCATTGAATGACCTATGGCATTTTCATTTAGGTCTCTGCCCTGCATCAGCTTCTCTCTTTTGGGATTCACAGGGTCTCATTTTTCACGTGTGTAGCCAGTCTTTGATGAGGTCTCGTTGGGTAAAGAGGCTTCTGAGTACCCTCCACACTGCAGCTTTGTCCTGTCTAGTAACCTACACCAAAATTTCAGCCATTTCAGAAGCTCTCTTCACTAACTGATTCTTTGGTTAGCAAGACTGCCATACTCTGCCTGGTCTCCAGCACCGTAGACAGGGGTGTACCCTCAGACCTAGAACATTGGCACATGTGCTCTCTCTCTGTGCTTCTCTCATTTCAAAGCTCACAATACTGAGCTGCCTATGGTCCGATTCTTGAAGACAACTGCTTCATGTGTTGTGTCCACTTCAGAGTTATTTGCATCAGGTGGGCAAGTCTTATGCAGCTATTCTTTCATGGCAAGAATCTAGAGAACTAAAATTCTTATTTTTTTCTCTGATAATTATTATAGTAGTCTTTTATTTAATGGACAAAATATGTTCTCTTACTTCTGTGGAGGTATAAATGATCATTTGCTTGTTTATTTAGCTCCTCCCTACATTTTCTTTCTTTCCTTGTGTATTAGTCCATTCTCACACTGCTATAAAGAAATACCTGAGACTGGGTAATTTATAAAGAAAAGAAGTTTAATTGGATCATGGTTCCGTGGGCTGTGCAGGAAGCATGGCTGGGGAGGCCTCAGGAAACTTACAATCATGGTGGAAGGGAAATATAGGCAGGTCTTACATGGGCAGAGCAGAAGGAAGAGAGGAAAGGGGGAGGTGCTACACACTTTTAAACAACCAGATCTCATAAGAATTCATTCATTATCATAAGAACAGCAAGGGGGAAACCTGCCCCCATGATCCAATCACTGCTTACCAGGCCCATCCTCCAACACTGGGGACTACAATTTGACATGAGGTTTGAGTGGGGACACAAGTCCAAACCATATTACGTTGGTATTTCCTTTTGACTTTTTTTAAAAAATATATTTATTTTGGTTTCTGACTTAAGAGGTTACCTCAAATATATAGGTAAAAAATATTCAAAAAGCTGTCTGGAAACTTCGTTGCAAAGACAGAAGTTGTTCAGTGATATAATTCACCATAAAGTGATTGACTAGGGGAATTAGCTGCTTATTGATGAACTTCCAGAGGTCAGTAGGTGTGGGTCTATTGTACTTCAGAGAGGATTCCTTTAAATCTGTTAATGTGGAAAAAAAACAAGAACTGCTATCTAATTGGAGCAAGCATATGTTTTCTATCTCTGTTCATTCAGTATAGTCTCTATCGTACCAAATACCAGGGCTTATAAGCGTGGGTGTCAGTGCTCTGTAAAGTGAGTGAGTATATTCTGATTATCCCCACTGTTTGACTGAAAGATTTCACTTGTTTCTTCCCATGTTCAATACTGTGTTTCACTTCTGCAATCAGCTATAACTGACAGTTACTCTTGTGTTCAAATTGTTTAGATAACAGACTATTTTTGGCAAAGGTAGAGGAGGTGTAATCACCTTGCTATGTGGGCTAAGGAAGGCGTCCTGAAGTGTGGGGCACCTTATAAATATTTTCAATCATTTATTTTTGGCGCCATACTATTTTCAAGCCTTAAGACATAACTGGCTCTTCCTATTTCCATGGCACTCTGTAATGCAGAGAGGTGAATCGTCTTTCTTACTGAATTTTCTCTGAAGGAAAGTTTCCATCTTCTGTGTACAGCTACATCAACAACTGTTAATGTGTCTACACTCCATCTACCAGAATAGTGGAGTCAGTTCAGGTGGATTGTTGCCTCCTTTTTAAATAGCTTTAAAAAAAAAAAAACGCTTTTACACATATTTTAGTGAGATTTCAAGAGGGCATAGCAATGAACATGTGCATTCTGTCTACTACATTCAGCAAAAACAACATTATTGTTTTAGAGTAGAGTGAAAGTAAGACTGTGAGGCATAGACAGAGAAGGATGTAATCAAAGGTGGTTCTTTAAAATTTTTATTTAAGCTTATTCTTCCAACAATATCTTGTTCCCACACTCACTCCTCCATATATTAGAACCTGGTTATGCCTCTGTCTAGCATCAGCATCTCTTGCCTTTCACTCTGTATCTATAGAACTTTAGTGAAAATAAGCTGTTAGCGTCCAATGGCCTTAAACAAACACATTGTATCCCTGTTACCAGGTCATAAAGGCAAGAGTGGGAGTGGCAAGGAGAGAAAAAGTGAACAGGTGTGACGGGAAGGGAGGTCATTTTCCCTGTACATTCTGAGCTGCACATTAGTCCAGGCTCCCTCCAATTTGCAGACATATTAGTGGCAGCCTTGCCATTTCCAAACATTAAAACACAATTTGCAGGGCTCTCTCTTGTCTTTCCTGACTTTATTTCAACAAGATAAACCCATCTGGAAACACCCTTGAAGCAATGTTCTTCCTGCCTCATTACAGCTACATCAACACTTCAGCATTCTGGGACTGCTCTGCTTGCCTCCCCCTTCTCTGCCAGAGCGTCTCATAGCCAATTAAATCCACTGTAACTCAGCTCTGAGGCCTAGTCTTTGCTCCCTTATTGCTTTTCAATAGCTTGAAATCTACTCAGCTGAAAAACCAAACTGATAATCAGGCAGGAATCATCACTGGAGTGAGAAATTATTGAAGAACCGTGCAACGCTGAAGACTGCCCCATTGGAATGTGGCCCTAGATGTAAAATGAGCCTTTTTAGTACCCATCTAAGAGCAGTCATGACTTCCTATCCTCAGGTGCTCTCTTTGTTTTTTAAATCCCAGAGCTCTAGAGTGACATTTAGCTGCTGCGCAGGGACTCCTTTTGTCCCTTGCCATCTCACACCAGAATTGTGTAAATGTTTGTCTCAGCATCCAAGAGGAAAAGGAGTAACAAAAGCCCCAAATGTAAGGCTCAGTGATAACATCTGAAGTCAGCTGTCAGCTTGCAGCTCCCTAACTCTTCACCCGTCAGCTCTGCTTCCTCTGCAAGTCCCAGCTTAATTATATTTTCATATTTATACAATGCCCCAACTATCACTCCTTCACCCTAGCGCCCTTCTCCAACTACCTGGAGAATGTCAGAAGTGAAATGGATATTGTAGATCATCAGTTTAAGTCTTTCATTTTAAAGAATTAGAGAAAACACAAGCAATGACTTTTCTAGGATAACATAGAAAGTCTATGCTCTGGCTAAGGTAGGAATGTGCACCCCATGCCTAGGGCGGGAACTTGGGGGAGGTATGTGAGGCACTCGGGCACAAAACGTAAGAGAGAACAAATAAACCCAGAAATTAAGATAACTAATATTTTAATGCAATATTTTTTAAAAAGCAAAATTAGTGCAAAACACTCCTTGAAGAACAAAATATCATAATATGAAATAAAGGCAGAGTCTAACAGGGCTAAGATTGGGGGGAGGTGAGTGAGGCAGGCCTGCATAAGCACAGGGCTGGACCCTGATTTTACTTAAAATTTTGATATTTTGTTCTTTATGGATTTATTTTGCATTTTAATTTTTAAAATACCACATTAAAGTATTATTTTCTAGATTACTGACATTGTGTCCCCTTCAATTTTGCTCCCAAGTTGAGTGCTTACTTGCTTTACATTAGCCCCAGCTCTGTTTCTGATTCTCAAACTAGTTCTACTTCTGAGCCCATTTTGCCTGACTTTTCCATGTCAATCTTCTCACTTTGAATCTCTTGATTCTGCCGTCATTGGTCTCACAACTTTTACTCTTCCTACTGAACCTGACTTACTTGTTTATTTGGACCTTGGTTATACAGGTTTCTATATGGCTTGGCTACCTGCTTACTGAACCCTACCTCTCCTCAAATATGGGGCTGTTTCTGCTTCTCTGGTTACTGCTGTATATATAGGAGCTTAAAATCTCCAGAATCCACTGTTGTGTCACCACAGAAAGAAAAACAAAATTGCCAATTCTAAAAGCTGTTACCTTTTTGCTAGGCCATGCTAACTAATGGAATGGGGTAAAGAACCAGAAAACCAAACACAGAAAGTAAGATATGTGTTAGAAATGCATCTGTTCTGTACTAAAATTCTAGTTTATTTTAGATAAATATAATTTCCCGACACAGACCAAATGAGGTCTATTTCCAGGCTCCTTGATCTTCACGTTGCATTATTTTGACTTGCCTCTTTGGATGTTCCAAAATTTTGATAATTGAATAATAGTAGTTAAATTATAAATTAAGGAGGTTTTGAAATCATTTTTGCTCAATGCCCTAGACTTCATTCTTCACGTCTAACATTCCCTTAGGTAATACAGCTATTATACCATGGAGCGTTTGAAGAATACATTTTTTAAATAGTCAACCTACTGCCACCTTCATCGTGATAATTTATGTTGTTAACAAATATTTACTTTAGGAATTCAGGTTATGTTTGGATATGGAAGTTTTCATTCACATACTCTATTGGGGGGGGATATGTGTGGTTATCTGGAGGATTGGCCAACTGTGCCAAAGGATGATGATGGTTGTGTAAGATGAGGATCTTCTACTGGAATTGAGTAATATCGAGTTGGAAAAGGCCCTTACATCATAATTTTTTATTGTTAATGTAATTTGAAGGTAATGTAACTTTTTATCTTCTTCCTTGTCCCCCAAGACTCATGTCAAAGACCATAGGAAAAAGATCAAGAGTGAGTCAAAGAGCCTGATTAACACATACCCTTAGATATTGATTAATCAGAGCCTAAAGACAAAGTACACAGGATATACTGCATAGTGATGACGTCTAATCTTTTAGTGTAACGAGCACCCAAATAATGTGCATTGTACCCATTAATTAATTTCCCATTCCTCACCTGCCCCCCATCCTCCTACTGTTCTGAATCTCCAGTGTCTTACTATTCCACACTCTATGTCCAGGTGTACACATTATTTAGCTTAGGGGGCCCATATTTTTTGGTTAAATTACTATGCCATTTTCTTAAGCAATTCTGCTCAAAATATCAACTCTTTGTTACAAGTCTGCAATAAAATAAGAAACTTGTGTTAGTATGTAAGTCAATAACATAACTGAGCACACTGCTTTGTCCAGATGGTTATTTTTCTTAGCTAGACTTTCTCAGTGAAGAAAGCAGTATTTTGAACTCCACTGTCGTGCAAGCTCCTTATCTCCTTGTGTACTACAACATTGAGTAATATTGATAGAATTATTGTCTGTATCTGTACACTTGAAGCTGACTCACCACCACTATTTCTGTGTTCCATTCTATGGAAAGATGTTTATGGCATACAACTTCCTTCTAAGAGCCCCAGAAGTGTCCATATTACTTCTGATCACTTCTCTTTGACCACAATTTAGTCACACTGCAACACCTAGACGCAAGGGAAGCTGGGAAATGTAGTCTCTAGCTAGGTGCTATGTGCCCAGCCACACCTTGAGTCCTAATACTAAAAGGAATAAAGAAAAATGGATATGGAGGACAATTAACGGCCTCTGAGACACCAGATTTTACTCCCTTACTGTTGTGCCATGAAATGGCTGAAACCAGTAAGGTCCTGGAAACCAAATTTATAACATAAGTAAAATGAAAATGTGCAATAGAAAAAAATGTCTCTTTTGGGGAAATTAAGAAGGTACAATAAATAACATCTCTCTGTATTTTTCTAAAGTTATAAACCATTTGAAAATAAGCCAAATAATACAAACAAGAGGTCATATATCAACTTTATTACTGAAAAAGAATATATTGGAGAATGTGGCTTTATTTGTGGCAAATGTACTTTCAGCAAATAACCTCAGAATAAGAAGACATATCCATCCAGTGAGAGGCATGGCTGGACTGTTAGTGTCCCATACACACCCAACACCTCCCGCATGCCATCCCCAACCCTCCTACCCACCGCAGGGCATTTCCTATTATGCCTATTGAAAGACTGGGCAGACTTCAGCACATGATCTCTGAAGACAACATTATTTTCGAAAGAGAAAAGAAGAAACTGAGATGAGCTCACTCATTTTATTCCTTCTTAGCTTTCCAGTGAAATCAGTCACTTCTTCTTTGGAGAGGACTGCTTGATAGGCAGGAATGTCAGTAATGTTACATTAACAATGCCCTCCACCTGGAAGGAAACACTGGAAGTGGAGAAGAGGCATTCCTCACCCCTCACATTGCCCAGCTTTTTGTTCTCTTAATGTATTGCATTGGGCTTAACCATTAGGCTTATGACCAATCTGTGGGATCACTATCTCCTTCATGTAAGCAGATCCACCATCTCTAAGGATAGTCTTGTTTTTTTACTTTCATGAAGATATTTTAAAATTATTAACCACTATTTTAAAAAAATATATTATCCTAGACCCACCAGTGGGCAGTACAGCTATTGACCCCAGAAGGCTCTGAAGTTGGTCCAAACCACACATTAACTGATTTCATTTCAAGGCAATTATTTTCCACTCAAATTTATTCAGCTGTTTTGCTCAGCATAGTCAATTCATGGGTTATTTAAAGAGATAAAGTAACAATATTACAATAATTTAATAATAAAATGCCAAGCTAGAAGTGCTGCAAATTTAGATACAAATGCTTCTCAAAATAGGGTGACAAATAAAGGTGGAAATATAAATCTCTTTGTAGGTTGAAGTCCAATGACATTAAAGTTCAAAGGAATTAAATTTGAAAATCAAATTATTTGACTGCCTTCATTATTTCCTCTCCAAGTTAATATTCAGCTTAATCTCAGCCAGAGGGATTATCCATGCCTGGCTGGAGTTAGGATTCCTTCAGTAGCTGAAGCCAGGCAGGCTTCCACAGGAATGATTGTGAGTCCTTTGGGAACTTAGAAGCTTTATTTGTTCAATGCGAAGCTCTTATAAGCCTCTCTTTTGAGAAATCCAAAGAGGTAACAGAACATGCATGATCATCACAGCACTGGCTCACACCCAATAAATTTTGAAAATGATCCAATTCCCAGACCCTAGAGAAACTATCTCAGATAAAATTATGTACTTAATGTTGCCAAGAATTACAGCAGGGACTTGATGGAGTCTATATAAAGGAGGAAAAATGGAGAAAAGGTTTTTTGTTTTGGGCTAGAGACAATGCCAGTCATCTGGTACCTTGTCCAAAAATCTATGACCTGTGCTTTGTAAACTCAAAAATGAGGTTAATTTTAGCATTATTGATTTACTATATGGGGTGGGAGGAAATCACTGAGACAAACTGTCTCCTCTCTTGCATGTTGCATTTAAGGCATTGCTGCCTTCTTGGAAATTTAGAAATATATATTTATATCCCCTGTCATAATGGAGATGCATTTTCCCTACCATCTGAGTACCTTGGAAAACCTCTTTATTGCCATTTCTCTTTTCCCTTGGAGCCCAGTGTTTCCATCTCCTAGTGCTGAAATGAGTATGGGCTGTGTCTAGTGATATAGCACCAATACTCCTCTACATGTAAATATAATAGTTTCAGACTTGATCCAATGTTCTTGTGGCACAAAATTGCTTAGGCTTAAAAGCCCTCCCCCTATGAAGGGGAGGGGTTCTTCTTTATATGAAATTAACCTATCCTGATCCACATTTTCTCAGGCTACTATCGTCTGGTTGAGGTTCCTCCAGCCCATATCTTTGGTAATTGTGGCTGGTGCCTTTGTGGATGTCTGAGTGCCCCTATCCTCTGTCTTTGCTGAACCTGAGACCTAAAACTTTTTCTTGAGGTCCTTTGCCTGTACCTTTCCTGGGCTTGATGTCTATCCATTTCAAGAGTTACTGAGGCCCACAACACACACCTTTGCTGGGCACTTGCTTTTCCTTAAAATAAGCAGATACATAACATTGTTTTCTTAAGGCAGAGCATGTTTAGTTCCCTCTATAAAAGCATAAACCACTTGCTTGAGGTCAAAGCTGCCTTAAACTGTCTTAACCCATAATGCACAAATTCCCACTTCCATTTACCTTAGGCCTAACTCCCTCTGTCCTGGTTAAAACAGTTAAAAGTTAAAATAATACCTATAAAAACTGGCTTCATTGTTTCCTGCAGGCTACTGAAGTCTTTGCCTTGGGCATATCAAAATGCTCAGGTAGTTCGCATGTGTTTTGCCCCAAACCACATTTCACCATCTATGTCCCAACTGTCCTGATCAATGTAGTATATTATAATACTTCTTGGTAAAAACTTTCTTTCACCCCTCCATACCCCACAGGAATAGAGCCTGACCCTATAAACCCTAAAGAGTGAAGGAGTTGAGCGGAGTGTGTGAGCAGTTTTCTCTTGAGGGAAAAGTAAATGAACATGAACTGGGAACATGTACATGATTCCTCTCTCAAATTCAGTCGTCATCGAAGAGCGATAGCATGAACAAAGGCCAAGGGTTTCAGGAGTGTTCCCTTTTTATGAAAGGCAATCTCCAGAGTGGAGAATTATCATTCTCCTCTAAAAACAGTCTGCCCTTCCCAAGCACAGTAATCATTTTTTTTTTTTTTATTGAGACACATTAACAGATGATGTTTACCTGAGATCTTGAAATTGACTAATAGTTGTGGCATAGTTGCAATAGGCTGTAGGTTATGCACACTGCTGATTCTCTGGTACAGTGGTTCTCAACTGAGGGTGATTGTGCCTCCTTCTAGGGGACATTGGATGTGTCTGGAGACATTTTTGGTTACAACCTGAGGCCCATGCTAGCAGGTAGAGGGCAAAGATGCTGCTAAACATCCTATAATGCACAAAACAATCCCATATAACAAAGAATTATCTGGCTGAATATGTTAACAGTGCTAACTAAGGCAGAGAAACTCTGCCGTAGATATAACTTTAGTTGTTTGTTTCCAAGTCAAGGAAACATATTGGGATGCAAGTGAGCGAGAAAGCTGTTAATATATAGATAACATTGAAACTCTCCTGAAAATTTTTTTAGTGAAATAAGTAATTTATAAATTACGGTGGTCTGTTGTGCTACAACATATGTTTTTGTAATCTGAATTAAATTAGTCCATGTGTGATTGTAAATAGAGGAATAATGCCAGGAAAATGTGGAAGCAATTTTTTTTAATTTTTTTTTCCTAGCCCATTAGTGTTTTATACCACCAAGTGGCCACAGCGGGACCCAGAAGGAGGAAGCAGGTAATACCATATGCAAGATGTATTTCTCATTGATTAATTGGTTGTTAAATAGGCTCAATTCTCTTCTCCCATCGTCTATTTATACCTATTTACAATGTCGTTTTGCACTTTGTAGCTCCTATCATGATGAACTGAAGTCTATTTCCACACCCCTTGAATATGAATTGGCTCTGTGACTTGTTCTGGCCAGTCAACAGGGGCAGAATTAATGGCCTACCAGTTTCAAGCCTAGGCCTCAAGAGACCTTCCACAATTCCATTTGTTCCATTGAAACTGTATGACCATTACATGAATAAGTCCAGACTAACCTGCTAAAGATTTAAAAATTCCTTCAAGCAGAGAATATCACACTGGAGTTCCTTCTTGGTTAGCCAGGCTACTGCTGACCTGCTGACTGATCACGAATGCAACGGTCCTTGCATCTTGCTGAGATCGGTCAAGGCTGGCCCAGGTCAGTAAAACCAGTCAGCTGACCTATAGACACACTAATAAATGGTGGTGTTTTAAGTTACTACATTTGGGGAGGTTTGATATGCAGCAATAGATAACTGATATACAAGCCATAATTTCTTCTTGGCTTATTTTTGCCACATGCTCCATTTTTGGAGGACTTACTGCACAGTTACCTTTGATTTTTGTGTGTTTTTCCCTTATCTCCAAACTTAGTAGAATCTACCATTGCTTAAACTTTATTCCATCAGATCACCTTTAGTGAGCGGTGGCTCACGCTTGTAATCCCAGCACTTTGGGAGGCCGATGTGCGTGGATCACAAGGTCAGGAGTTCGAGACCAGCCTGGCCAACATGGTGAAACCCTGTGTCTACTAAAAATACAAAAAATTAGCCAGGCGTGGTGACAGGTGCCTATAATCCCAGCTACTTGGGAGGCTGAGGCAGGAGAATCACTTGAACCCGGGAGGCAGAAGTTGCAGGGAGCCGAGACCATACCACTGCACTCCAGCCTGGGCAACAGAGCAAGAATCCGTCTCAAAAAAAAAAAAAGAAAAAAAGAAATATACAGCCATATTTAGCTATCTCTACGTATTAGGAATTTAACATGATGTTTTAACTCTGCTTGTATTTTGATAACATATTTCATTATTATTTTTGTTAGTGCGGTGGTTAAAATGTTGCATAGACTTTTGAGTGTTCTGTCCCACTCCTAGGTTTTCTATAGTCCTATTATTTTAATTTGTGATTTTATAGGATTTAAGGTATCTTAGAACTGTATGTATATGTTGCATTATAGGCAACAGAAATGCCCACATTTTTTGAGAATCATATTATTTATGCCTTACTCACAACTGATTCTTAATCACTTGTGTACCAAGACATAAGGTTAGGAATTTTGCTCAGGCCACTCTGGGGGATCAAAGAAGCACCTAAACAGAGGGCTCTGTGGATATGTTTATTTCTGTTTTGGGTGTGTGTCAACATGTGAGTGTTTGTATGTATGTGTGTATTATATGTGTGAGTTGGTAGAAAATTCAGAGAATTAATATACTGTTACAGTTTTTATAACACTAATATGTTCCCAGGATGTTTAATGCAACTTATATCAAATTATTATAAATAGTTAAAATAATAAACACTGTGATTCATAAATAGCTCTGCATTTTATCAAGGACTTTCATATCAATAGTCTCATCTTTAGTCCTCATGGAACCCCTGAGATACAGGTAATATTTTTTAATTTTTAAAAATTTGATTGTAAATCAACAAATAATTGTACACATTTTGGGGGCACAAAGTGATGTTATGATATATGTATATAATGTAGAATGTTTAAATCAAGCTAGTTAATACGTCCATCACTTGAAATACTTATTTTTTTATGGTGAAAACATCTAAAATTTACTCTTAGCAATTTTGAAATATACATTACAATAGTCAGCACGCTGTGCAATAAATCTCAAAACATTTATTTCCTCCGTCTGAAAAAATTTTCAGGGACGTCTCAGTGCTATCCATATATTAACTGCATTCCCATTCACTTGTATTTCAACATGTTTGCATGACTTGGATTACTATATATTAGTTGAAAACTTAAGGCATTTCTTTTCTAAGAGAGAAACTGAGGATATATCAATTTATAGCAAACTTCCATCTTCATATCCTTTGACCAGCATATCCTTCTTCCCCCCTGCCCCCTGCCCCCGCCAAGCCTCTGGTAACCACCACTCCACTCCTTGCCTGAGGTCAGGTTCACTTCAGTTTTTTTAGATTCCATTTCATATAAGTGAGATCATGTGGTATTTGTCCTTTTGTGCCTGGCTAATTTTACTTAGCGTAATGTCCTGCAGGTTCATTCATGCAGTCACATATGACAAAGTTTCCCTCTTTGAAATCCATTGTACAGATGAGGAAAAGGAAAGTGGACTCGGTTTAGTGCTCCAGGTAGTACATGTCAAATCGGGGATTTTTTTAAAAGATGCTTTTTTTCCTACTCCTTCACACCAAGATGCCTTCTTTCGGAAAAGGGCAAGACTGGAAATCTTAAGGCATTCCTTTTCTGAGAGAGGAAGGGAGGATAAATCAATTTATAGAGAACTTCCATCCTTACTTTATAATGTAGTGCTAGTAACAAACATAAAATTGGTAATTAGGTAGCTTTTTGTTATAGATAAGGAAATAAGACACAGGTAGCAGTCCTAAGATCAAACCATGACCAATATGAAAGCTTTCTGAATGGGGAGTTGGTTCTTTCTCACTAAAGTCTTGATCCTCTTTTATCCTCAGTGTCTCATTTTGCACATATTTTAGTAAACCTCAAGTCTTCTTGGAAAAAAATCAAGGCATAAATATGACATAAATAATGCAGCCCTACTATTTAGACAGCCCATGACACATTTTCTCTTAGAGCTAAAGACAATTCCCAAGAGTGTAGTATTTGGTCTGTGGCTACCCAACAGTGCTTCTTCAGCTCATGGCGTGATGTCCCTGCTACTGCTGGCATCCAGGCTTGGTTTCTAGGACTTTAGTTCCTGGGTACAGAACCATTCCTCTTTTCAGGATGTACCAGAGTCAGCTTTTATGTAAAAAGGAGGGATTGACTTTTGGGGAGAAAATCAAATCTAGTTGGAGTTGTCTTTGATTTTTAGATTTGGGTCTCAGATGGGTTTATTGAGATCCTGATGTTGGGGGATGAATACTGTCAGCACACTGGGTTGTTCCAACATGCAGAATGCCATGGCTGGCCACTTGCACGGCTGTGATACTCTGTAGAAAATACTCTGGCACCTCCACATGTCCCCCAGCCAGCTCAGGACACTGATGTCAATCACTTCATTACAGCATTATATGGATCACACAATCTCTCCTTAAACTTGTTATTTTTAAGCATTCATTGGGGTCATGATGTTCTGAGGTTAGTCCTTAGGCACTTTCAAATTATTAGGCAAGACAAATTATTACTGAATGTCCTCAGCTTTTACTCTGGCTGGGATCAAAGTGTTCTCCACAACTGCTTCAGCCCAGCACTCTAGCTGAAAGGAGGTCCAACGCCACAAGTGCCATTAGGTTTTGGAGCAGGCAGAAGGGGGCCAGAAAGACTTGAAAATTTTATTTTATTCTAATAGGCACAGCATGAAAAGAGACATTGAAATGGAATAATTAAAAATGCTAGGTTTAAAGCTGCCTTTTACTTCCCTTCAATATGCTGTGAATTCTCTGTTCAGGAATGATTTGTCTTCATTCCCTTCCTTCTTAACATGAGTAATTTCTCCTATTTACTGAGTCCATCCTCCACGTGACATCTTTAGTTTTTACAATGTGTCTGTAAGGCATTACTATGCTACAAATGGGCAAAACAGGCTTAGGGATGTCTGGGTAGATTTTGGCTGGTCTAGCTCAATAGGAGGTTAGATTTTAGCACATCTAGGGAAAGGAGTTAGTGAATATCTTTTAGGCACTCCTTTATGAACAGTGTTTACTTTATAAAAATATCAAAGAGCTATTATTCTGAAGTTATGTAACCGAAATGCAGGTTAGTCGCTCACCTTGTACAGAGTACAAGTAACAAGGATGGCGTCTGATATAAAGAAAGTAACCTCAGTTTCCTCATATATGAAAAGCATTGTTTAAATTACCTCATAGAGTGTGAGGATCAAATCTGATAATGAAAACAGTGCATGACACACAATAATTGCTGGCTCTTATCATCATTGTTATCAGCATTTTCCTGATTCAGTTCTTGCTCCCTTTGCTTCAGTCATGCCCAGGGCTTCTGTCCTTTGAACGTTAAAGTCTTATTTCTCTCTTTTTTTCTTTTTTTTGTTGTCTTCCATCTCTGTTTAAGGAGTTACTGTCAGTGATACTCAAACTGTGGTCACTAGACAGGTAATCTCAGCATCATATGGGGGCGTGTTAGAACTGCCAATTCTTAGGTTTGGCCCAAGACCTCCTTGATCAGAGTCTCTAGGGAAGGGGCTCAGGAATCTGCATTGTAATAAGCTTTCCAGGTGGTTCTGATGCTTGCTAAACTTTGAGAAGCACTTTTCTAAGTCAATTACACTGTTTGTTTGATTTAAAAGCCCTGAAAATGGAGACAAGATTTGGGTTCATATCCCAGCTTTGACACTCATAGGCTACATAAACTTTGGCAAATTGACTCTAGATTTTCCTTTGTAATGTGTACAGTGTTCTCTGGAGTTTCATTACTTAGGTTATAGGCTAAGCTACATGAATGAAGAAACCCAAAAAACAGTGATTTGAATACATTTATTTCTCTCTGCATAATAGTTCAGAGGTATGAAGGTAGCCCAGAGTAAGTTTGTGGCTCTTTTCTACAAGGTCATCTAAGGACTCAGGATTCTTCTGACGTGATACCCTGCCCCTCCTGAGACATTGTTTTGTTCATATAGTTGACTTGGGCTCATCGATGCTATGTCAAGCTTCTTGCCTGAGGGAAAATAGAAAGGGAGAGAAAGGAAAACAAGTAATTTTATTTTAAAGAAGTGATGCAAAAGTTGCTCATATTACTTTTGCTCATATTCCCTTGGTGAGAACCTGGATATTTGGCTATAACTGGTGGGAGGCTGGAGAATGCGTCTATGAGCTGGCTGGCCAGCTACCTTATACAAATTCAGGAGCTGTTGGTATTCTGATGCTAGTAAAATAGATACTTATAGAAACACATAGCACAATGCTCAGCACAGAGGAATTATTCCACAAATGCTAACGTGAGATGGAATAGTGTGGTCTTGAAGAGTCAGATAGATATGAGTATGAATATGCGTTCTTGTACCTACTTAGTATTTGACTTTGAGAAGATTATTTCTTCTTTGAGATTCAATGTCCTTATTTTCTAAAGTACAAATTACATAAGGTAATAGTCTTAGCTTACTGTGTAGGTTTTAGAATGATGGAGGGTTTAGGCTACCTCCAATTCTAGATCAGAATGCATTTTGATTCCCTTAATCACAATGAGGCAGGAGATATCCTAAATGCGTCGGAATGTTTCACATGTCATTAATTCCTTATCAAACACAACTGCAAGCAACACTGCAATTACTGTGCAGCTATGGGCCCATAGCCTGAAGGTAGGGATCTTAATCCTAGGGCCCATTTGATGATTGGTGGGGTGTACATGGCAGAAATTGTGCCAACAGCCTAAAGCACAGCTTTCAGTTCCGCAGAAGGAGGAGGTGTTTCCATCATTTCATTATATTCTCTAGGGCAGAAATTGGAGGCCTGTGGTGAAATATGATTACAATTCTCTATTGTCTTATTTGGGGTATAAACAAATTCCTCTCTAATCAATTTACAGAAACAAACATAAAAAGCAAATAAGCAGCCTTCTTAGAAAGGGATTATTATACAGGATTTGCATATGTCACTTACTCTGGTGGAGCAGAAATGCAGCCATGTATTTACAAACAAGGCAAACGTATGCCCTGTTCAAGAATAGTGCTTATTATTGGAGCTAGTCCTATTTGTCTTGACATCAAAAATTCCTTTTGATACTTTTCAGTTTTCTCTTTTAGAAAAAGACAATGATTCCTGAAATCTCCAAATTAATAAAGTCAAGGACATCTTTAGGTTTCTTGCTGTCTACTTCCTTCCCTCACAAAAGACACTAGAAGCTGGAAATGGAGACCAGAGTGTTCTAGGTGTATCATAACATTGCTAAGAGCCTCGCTTCCTGGGGTTCATTTTCTCTAATTACTAAGAACAACACTAGCAGTGGAAAGAATAAGATAGGTATGAAGAAAGGAGGTTGGAGACTTTCTTAGCTTGGATCTCCTTAAGAGCAGAGCCCAAGACAGAGGCTTGCATGCAGGGGTAGATGCTTCTTAACTTGGGTTACCTCTAGATAAACCCATCATATGTTGAAAATATGTAGCTAAGAAATGCATCTTATACACCTAACCTACAGAACATTGTAGCTTAGCCGAGCCTACTTATATGTGCTCACAGCATTTACATTGGCCTACAGCCGGGCAAAATCATCTAACAACATAGAACCCCATAGAGTGCTGGTTGTTTGCCCTTGTAATTGCTTGGCTGACTGGGGGCAGTGGCTGCCAGTGACAAAGAGTAGAGTACAGTATATTGCTAGCCTGGGAAGAGATCAAAATTCAAAATTTGAAGTACAGTTTTTACAGAATGCATATGGCTTTCAAACCATCATAAAGTCAAAAATCGTAAGTCGAATCATTGTAAGTCTGGGACCAGCTGTGCTTTATTTGGAAAGTGATATTTGGAAAGTGATTCTAGGGAAGAGAAATGAGCATATCAGGGATCAGAACACGATATCCCAAAATATGGTGTCATGGCATGCTGAGTATTTCGTTAGGAAGGAGATTGGTAGGCCTTAGAAGAAAGGTCACTCTGACCTTCTCATGCTCTCCCTTCTTCCTTTCCCCACGCTCCCCCAAGATGTGTCAAGAATTTTTCTCCCCACCTCAGATTATAGAAGTTAGAACTCCTCTCCCTCAAAGTGAACCATAAAACCTAGAAACGTCACTCTCTGGCCTACCTTCCCTGAAAGCAGGTCATGAGGGTCTTGTTCTAGAGTTCCTGCCCCATATGCTGAGAGAGGAATGCCACATAGAGAGCCCAAGAATAATCTGAACAAGTAGGCCTTGCTTGGTCTCCTCGCAGTTGATTACTATTAGATTCTACTTTCTTTGTCCAATCATGCTTCTTCACAACTTTTCACTTTTTTCATCAGACTTAGAATAAAAGCACACAGTTTTCCCTGGGTATGGGGGTCACATAAAACCCTGGTTAAATAAACTTATGGGTTTTTTTTTCTGTTAATCTGTCTTTTGTTACAGGACTGTCATCCGTGACCCTTATGACGGATGAGAAAAAGTTATTACCTTATTGCCCCTATGGGGGGTGAGGGGAGAGAAGCAGGAAGTAGAGAAAGGCAATCCAAATATGTATGATCCCATTGTCTACTGTGACAGGCAAAGAAGCTTGATTCAGAGAGAACTTTTAAGGAAACTTGTGACATGAATCTTGGAACTGACCACCTAAGGGACAAAGGGGGAATCAATTTGTGGGAGTGAAAAAGTAAATATTTTTCCTCACCCACTGTAAGTTATTACTTACAGTGCTATAACAATAGACAGATTCATAAGAGAAAAGCACAGCCAATTGATTTAACAATGTTTTATGTGACATGAGAGCGTTCGGAAATGAGGACTCAAGGACCCCCCCCCAAAAAACTGCATTTTTATACTTAGGTTCAATGAGGAATGGACAGTCCTGTAGAAATGTCAGTGTACAAAAAACAGGGTGAAACTTCATGATAATAAACTGAAGGTGGGGGGAGGGAACCCAGAAAGGCCCTGAAAGGTTCAAATTCTTCTTGGCTTCTCTGTGTATCATTCCTTCTCTCCAGGTTTGGTGCAGTACTCCTCTGGAATGCGGGTCTTATGACTTACTTTCAGTTAAGGTAGATTAAAAAAAATGTTTTATAACTATGCTTTATACAGAAAAGTGGGGGTGGTCAGAGTGACCTTCTAGCTCCTGTAGCTTTTTCAATTGCTGAGTGCCATGTTTTCACATATCATGTTCTGAGCTCCCACAAATTATTAATTAGTTCCCAGACCCCAGTGGACAAGGTTGGACACGTAGGGGTTAATTATCCTGCCGTTTGGTTTCTACAGACATCTCCTACTATGGCATCTGAGAGACCATGGGGCAGGAGTGGGAGGCCATGGTGCAGGTGATAGAAGCCTGTGCTAAGCAAATCTCTGCAGCAGAGAATAGTGAAGAGGCGAGGACCCAAGAATTTAAGCTTGCATGTGAGTGGTCTCCAATGCAGATGACTAAAGGATATTTTTGTTCTTCTCACAACTTTTTGATTCTAGTGTTATGCTCTGTGTAATTTTATAATAAGAACAATAGCTACAATTTATTTGCTATTTGCTGGATGTAGTTTGAGGGACTTGTGCAACATGTTCTCATTTTATTCTTCATAATAGTCCTTTATCATGACTTTGTATCGTTGATATTTACTTACAAGTAAATATTTTCAGATAAGTTAAATAATTTACTTACTTACAGTTACAAGGTATATGCATGTATGTATGTATGTTTGTTTTTAAAAATTATTTTATTAGCTCAGAAAATATATGAACCATACTGTAGAACGGAGACTTTTAAACATTTTTGGTTTAGCACTTAGTTTTTTATGTCTGCTAATGTACTGAAGCAAGAGTTTTATAAAATTGCATTTTCTCTTTTGACATGTCTTGTTAAGAGAAAATACAATATTTTCTATTCTGTCCTACTTGTGTGTGTGTGTGTGTGTGTGTGTGTGTGTGCATACTGTTTGCTACCCATTATATTGATTTTATCACTCACTAATGAGTTATGAGGCATGACCCCACAGTGTGAAAACGGTGACCTAGAAAACCAATATTTTATAGAAAATATTCACTTTCGGATGACAGGGGTCATCTGAAGCCTCATGAATGCCTAGCTCAATGGATGATTGACAGATGATAGAAAGATTGATTGATAGATAGATGATTGATAGATATAAGAGCTAAATGTTGTGCTTATTTTATTCATTTAAGTTTGGCTTATAGTTAGCTACGGGCTTTATACAATAGCTTTAGGCTTCGTTAAACAAAAGAGTCTATAGGATAAGTCATATTGTCTACTGATACTTTAAATAATTTTAACTTTTATTTTAGATTCAGGAAGTACATGTGCAGGTTCGTTATGTGGGTATATTACACGATACTAGGTTTGGAATACGGATGATCATGTCACCCTAGTAGTGAGCATGGTACCTAACAGTTTTTCAATGCTTACCCCTCCCGCTTCCAGCAGCCTCCAGTGTCCATTGTTGACTTATTTTATTTTGTAATGGGAACTGAAATTTTGATAAATATTCTCACTTGAGACTAGAGAGGAAATATATTTCCTTTATAATTTGGATTTGCTGGATTAAAGAATAAGAGAAGAGCAAGAAGAGGAAAAAATAAATGAAAGCATGTGGAAGAGTGCACCAATGTGGAAGAGTGTGTGCCAATGTGGCTTTCATGGACTTCTTGTGGGAGTCAGATGGGGCACCCATGGGCCAGTGAACACTACTGCATGCACAGCTGCTTTGCAGCTCCCACTATGCTCCTGCTCTTTTCTTCTGCTGTGCTCCTTTTGCAGTCTGTTCAACAACAATCTTTTCACCAAATTTACTCCAACCCGCTACTTAGTATATATGATGCAATATTACTAATTATCAGAAATTCTTTCCTCTGCTTATTTTGAATATTGCCTTTACAGGTTCTGGAGGTGGAGCTGACACTTGTTTCTTCTTTCATAAACACGGGATAATGCTTTTCATCCCAGATGAAAGGGTGAGTCTTTAATGAGATAATGTGTATAGCACAGTAGGTGCCCATCACATTTTAGCTAAAAGTGTCCTTGCTTTCTGCAGTGCACCAAATCCACTTCCTCCTGCCACTGTGGTTGAAGCCTGCTCCCGGGCTCGCCTATACCTTATCTGGTCCTGCCTTCCTGAGCAGCTGATCCTCTTGATGGTGTGTGGTCACTTCCTGAAAGCTAGTGGTGGCTTTGTGAGTGCTCACAGAAAACTGAGGAAAAATTGTTCAGATAAGGCACAGAAATTTCTCAACAAGGCTGTTCCTTCTCTAGCGTGCATTTATGCAGGTCTTTCAGTAGGTATTGAGACTTGAATATGTAGAAAATCTTTCTTTTTCTATCTTTCTGTGACAACACAGCACACAAATTCCCTGAAGACCAATTAGTCACCTTTATTCAGAAATTTAGGCTGAAAAAGTAGTCTTTATCTGGAACATTTCCAAACTCAAGGGAGAGACAGAGAGGAGATGGGGAATTATGTGATGAGTCTCAAAGTTCTGGCTGTTGTTCCCACCATGATGCCATTGGTAGGAGTTCACATGCTCACCCCTGAGTTCAGCAGGGTGGATGCATCGTCCTCTCACAAGAAGGACAATCAAAGGAAGGGGATCCAGAATATTTAGCAATCATCAATGCTACTGATCAACCACCAGACACAAGACTACATTTTAACTCAAAATCATTGGATGTTCTTATGTATCTCAGCTTGTGTGCACATTTACATGAACATGGCCACCCTCATCTAGGATCAACAGCATTCCACAGCACACTTTAGGGGGTCCCACCTCTGTGTCTTTGCTCATATCATTTCCTCCTGCTGGAATGTCTTTCCTCCATGTTCAAATTTTGTAGATTTACATCAAAACAGGAATAGGAAATTCAAAAATAAATAAATACAAATAGCTAACGAAATTGTTCAACCTGACAAATAGTAAATGGAAAAAAAAAAAAACACTAAAACACAGATTCCATCTTGGGCCTAAAAAAGGCAAGCATTTAAAGAGAAACATACAGTATTGTTCAGGGGGAAGCAATACAGATATTTTCATTTACAGTAGTTTCCCCTTATCTTCAGGTAATATGTTGCAAGACTCTCACTGGATGCCTGAAACCGCAGATAGTACTGAACCCTATGTAGACCATGATAGTATGTTTTTTCCTATGCATACATACCTTTGATAAAATTCAATTTATAAATTAGACACAATAACAGATTAACAATAAATAATAATAATGTAAACAATTATATTTTAAAGGACAGACAAAGAGAGCCCACATTCACATAAATTTTATTATAGCACAGTTATATTTTTGTGGTGTACTCACCTATTTTCAGACCACAGTTAAATATAAGTAGCTAAAACCTTAGAAAGTGAAACTGCCAGTAAGGGGGGACTACTGTACTATTGCTAAGAGTTGCTATCCAGGCACTTGTTTTATGACTAAAAAGCTGGAAAGAATTGAAGTATCTCCCATCACTCTCTAGCACCTATTCCTTATACATTCATCACTACTTGATATACATGTGTGCATGCCTACAACCCCCTTTACACACACACGAACTCTTTCTTTGCTTGTTATTGTTCTTCCCAGAGAATGTAAGCTCCACAAGGACAATGACTTTATCTAGCTTGTATATTATTATACCTCCAGTCCTAGAATGTCTAACACATAGGTGGTCACATAGTAAATATTTATTAGATGAATATATGAAATGATCATCAGGAGTCTGTGTAAATAAATAATGACATATTTACATAATGATCAACTTTATAGAATTTTTAAAAAGTTATTAAAATTTTAATTTTAATGTTTTAAATGTTTTATGTTTAAATGTTTTAAAATTAAAAACATTTAAAACATGAAAAATACTTATTGTCTATAATAAAGACACAAACACAGTGGTTATCTCAGACTGATGAGCTTATGATTGATTGATAGTTTTCCTTTTTATATACATCTGCATTTTCTAAATACTTATCAATAAGCATGTGCTATTGTTATAATCAGACAAACATGTAAAAGACAAAAAGTCCTGGAAGTCCAGCTCAAATGCAACCTCTTCTATTAAATATTTCCTGAACTCTCCAATCCCTGGTGATCTTGGCCTCTACAATCCTCAGGACATAGTGACCATGTCCGAAACCATGCATAGTACTGAACCCTATACTGATTACAATACTGTGATGTTGGATTTGTGGGTATAACCCATTTGTGTCATTTAGCTGTGTTCCTCTTGGACCAACAGCTTTAGCTCCCATTGCCCTGCCCAATGCAGGGTGAAGGAATATGGTATTCTGAAAAAGGTGGAGCAATAGGAAGTTAAACAGGGAGGAAGTTAAGAGGAGAATGTGGATATACCAATACATCAACAGAAAATAAGAAACAAGATCCTGTTCAGTTCCTAAAAATGACTCCAAAAAGGTATTTTTCACTTGAAAACAGTGTAACCTTTAGCTTCGAGAGAATGTCCTAAAATTTACTGCTGGCTGCATTTGAGGTCATTGAGGCCCACCTTTAAATGAGTTCCATAAATTCCCAGGATGAAGCTCAAGACTTTGAGAGATACAAAAGAGGCCTGTGGAAAGGTAACACAGGGAAAGAAATAAGAGATGAGAGTGTTCCCTACCCCCCAGCTCCTCTGGCCACCCTCCCGATGGATCCCTGTGGTGCCAGGCAGGAATGACCTGCTTGGGGATGCAGCGAGCTCCCAGGACCTTACCCACTGCTTCCTCTACCCACGTATTTCACTCAGCTCCCCAAATTGACTCAGCTCCAGGCCAGTAGGGGAGGAGCCAAGGATGGCCGAATAGGAACAGCTCCTGTCTACAGCTCCCAGCGTGAGCAACACAGAAGACAGGTGATTTCTGCATTTCCAACTGAGCTTTGAAGAGAGTAGTGGTTCTCCCAGCATGCAGCTTGAGATCTGAGAACGGGCAGACTGCCTCCTCAAGTGGGTCCCTGACACCCGAGTAGCCTAACTGGGAGGCACCCCCCCAGTAGGGGCAGACTGACACCTCACACAGCCAGGTACTCCTCTGAGACAAAACTTCCAGAGGAACAATCAGGGAGCAGCATTTGCGGTTCACCAATATCCGCTGTTCTGCAGCCTCCGCTGCTGATACCCAGGCAAACAGGGTCTGGAGTGGACCTCTAGCAAACTCCAACAGACCTGCAGCTGGGGGTCCTGTCTGTTAGAAGGAAAACTAACAAACAGAAAGGACATCCACACCAAAACCCCATCTGTACATGACCATCATCAAAGACAAAAGGTGGATAAAACCACAAAGATGGGAAAAAAAAAACAGAGCAGAAAAACCAGAAACTCTAAAAAGCAGAGCGCCTCTCCTCCTCCAAAGGAACGCAGCTCCTCACCAGCAACAGAACAAAGCTGGATGGAGAATGACTTTGACGAGTTGAGACAAGAAGGCTTCAGATGATCAAACTACTCCGAGCTACAGGAGGAAATTCGAACCAATGGCAAAGAAGTTAAAAGCTTTGAAAAAAAAAATTAGAAGAATGGATAACAACTAGAATAACCAATGCAGAGGAGAAGTCCTTAAAGGACCTGATGGAGCTGAAAACCAAGGCACGAGAGCTATGTGACGAATGCAGAAGCCTCAGGAGCCGATGCGATCAACTGGAAGAAAGGGTATCAGTGATGGAAGATGAAATGAATGAAATGAAGCAAGAAGAGAAGTTTAGAGATAAAAGAATAGAAAGAAATAAACAAAGCCTCCAAGAAATACTGGACTATATGAAAAGACCAACTCTATGTCTGATTGGTGTACCTGAAAGTGACAGGGAGAATGGAACCAAGTTGGAAAACACTCTGCAGGATATTATCCAGGAGAACTTCCCCAATCTAGCAAGGCAGGCCAACATTCAGATTCAGGAAATACAGAGAATGCCACAAAGACACTCCCTGAGAAGAGCAACTCCAAGACACATAATTGTCTGATTCACCAAGGTTGAAATGAAGGAAAAAATGTCAAGGGCAGCCAGAGAGAAAGGTCGGGTTACCCACAAAGGGAAGGCCATCAGACTAACAGCTGATCTCTCTGCAGAAACTCTACAAGCCAGAAGAGAGTGGGGGCCAATATTCAAGATTCTTAAAGAAAAGAATTTTCAACCCAGAATTTCATATCCAGCCAAACTAAGCTTCATAACTGAAGGAGAAATAAAATCCTTTACAGACAAGCAAATGCTGAGAGATTTTGTCACTACCAGGCCTGCCTTAAAAGAGCTCCTGAAGGAAGCACTAAACATGGAAAGGAACGACTGGTACCAGCCACTGCAAAAACATGCCAAATTGTAAAGACCATTGAGGCTAGGAAGAAACTGCATTAATTAATGCACAAAATAACCAGCTAACATCATAATGACAGGATCAAATTCACACATAACAATATTAACCTTAAATGTAAATGGGCTAAATGCTCCAATTAAAAGACACAGACTGGCAAATTGGATAGAGTAAAGACCCATCAGTGTGCTGTATTCAGGAAACCCATCTCACGTGCAGAGACACACATAGGCTCAAAATAAAGGGATGGAGGAAGATTTATCAAGCAAATGGAAAATAAAAAAAGGCAGGGGTTGCAATCCTAGTCTCTGATAAAACAGACTTTAAACCAACAAAGACCAAAAGAGATGAAGGCCATTACATAATGGTAAAGGGATCAATTCAACAAGAAGAGGTAACTATCCTAAATATATATGCACCCAATACAGGAACACCCAGATTCATAAAGCAAGTACTGAGTGACCTACAAAGAAACTTAGACTCCCACACATTAATAATGGGAGACTTTAACACCCCACTGTCAACATTAGACAGATCAATGAGACAGAAAGTTAACAAGGATATCCAGGAATTGAACTCAGTTCTGCACCAAGCAGACCTAATAGACATCTACAGAACTCTCCACCCCAAATCAACAGAATATACATTCTTCTCAGCACCACACCACACCTACTCCAAAACTGACCACATAGTTGGAAGTAAAGCACTCCTTAGCAAATGTAAAAGAACAAAAATTATAACAAACTGTCTCTCAGATCACAGTGCAATCAAACTAGAACTCAGGATTAAGAAACTCACTCAAAACCGCCCAACTACATGGAAACTGAACAACCTGCTCCTGAATGATTAGTGGGTACATAATGAAATGAAGGCAGAAATAAAGATGTTCTTTGAAACCAATGAGAACAAAGATACAACATACCACAATCTCTGGGACACATTCAAAGCAGTGTGTAGAGGGATATTTATAGCACTAAATGCCCACAAGAGAAAGCAGGAAAGATCTAAAATTGACACCCTAACATCACATTTAAAAGAACTAGAAAAGCAAGAGCAAACACATTCAAAAACTAGCAGAAGGCAAGAAATAACTAAGATCAGAGCAGAACTGAAGGAAATAGAGACACAAAAAACCCTTCAAAAAATTAATGAATCCAGGATCTGGTTTTTTGAAAGGATCAACAAAACTGATAGACTGCTAGCAAAACTAACAAAGAAGAAAAGAGAGAAGAATCAAATAGATGCAATAAAATATGATAAAGGGGCTATCACCACCTATCCCACAGAAATACAAACTACCGTCAGAGAATACTATAAACACCTCTATGCAAATAAACTAGAAAATCTAGAAGAAATGGATAAATTCTTCGACACATACACCCTCCCAAGACTAAACCAGGAAGAAGTTGAATCTCTTAATAGACCAATAACAGGCTCTGAAAGTGAGGTAATAATCAATAGCTTACCAACCAAAAAAAGTCCAGGACCAGATGGATTCACAGCCGAATTCTACCAGAGGTACAAGGAGGAGCTGGTACCATTCCTTCTGAGACTATTCCAATCAATAGAAAAAGAGGGAATCCTCCCTAACTCATTTTATGAGGCCAGCATCATCCTGATACCAAAGCCGGGCAGAGACACAACAAAAAAAGAATTTTAGACCAATATCCTTGATGAACATTGATGCAAAAATCCTCAATAAAATACTGGCAAACCGAATCCAGCAGCACATCAAAAAGCTTATCCACCATGATCAAGTGGGCTTCATCCCTGGGATGCAAGGCTGGTTCAATATACGCAAATCAATAAATCCAGCATATAAACAGAACCAAAGACAAAAACCACATGATTATCTCAATAGATGCAGAAAAGTCCTTTCACAAAATTCAAGAACCCTTCATGCTAAAAACTCTCAATAAATTAGATATTGATGGGACGTATCTCAAAATAATAAGAGCTATCTATGACAAACCCACAGCCAATATCATACTGAATGGGCAAAAACTGGAAGCATTCCCTTTGAAAACTGGCACAAGACAGGGATGCCCTCTCTCACCACTCCTATTCAACATAGTGTTGGAAGTTCTGGCCAGGGCAATCAGGCAGGAGAAGGAAATAAAGGGTATTCAGTTAGGAAAAGAGGAAGTCAAATTGTCCCTGTTTGCAGATGACATGGTTGTATATCTAGAAAACCCCATTGTCTCAGCCCAAAATTTCCTTAAGCTGACAAGCAACTTCAGCAAAGTCTCAGGATACAAAATCAATGTGCAAAAATCACAAGGATTCTTATACACCAATAACAGACAAACAGAGAGCCAAATCATGAATGAACTCCCATTCACAATTGCTTCAAAGAGAATAAAATACCTAGGAATCCAACTTACAAGGGACGTGAAGGACCTCTTCAAGGAGAACTACAAACCACTGCTCAATGAAATAAAAGAGGATACAAACAAATGGAAGAACATTCCATGCTCATGGGTACAAAGAATCAATATCATGAAAATGGCCATACTGCCCAAGGTAATTTATAGATTCACTGCCATCCCCATCAAGCTACCAATGACTTTCTTCACAGAATTGGAAAACAACTACTTTAGAGTTCATATGGAACCAAAAAAGAGACTGCATTGCCAAGTCAATCCTAAGCCAAAAGAACAAAAGCTGGGAGGCATCACGCTACCTGACTTCAGACTATGCTACAAAGCTACAGTAACCAAACCAAAACAGCATGGTACTGGTACCAAAACAGAGATATAGACCAATGGAACAGAACAGAGCCCTCAAATAATACCACACATCTACAACCATCTGATCTTTGACAAACGTGACAAAAACATGAAATGGGGAAAGGATTCCCTATTTAATAAATGGTGCTGGGAAAACTGGCTAGCCATATGTAGAAAGCTGAAACTGGATGCCTTCCTTACACTTTATACAAAAATTAATTCAAGATGGATTAAAGACTTAAATGTTAGACCTGAAACCATAAAAACCCTAGAAGAAACCCTAGGCAATACCATTCAGGACATAGGCATGGGGAAGGACTTCATGTCTAAAACACCAAAAGCAATGGCAACCAAAGCCAAAATTGACAAATGGGATCTAATTAAACTAAAGAGCTTCTGCACAGCAAAAGAAACTACCATCAGAGTGAACAGGCAGCCTACAGAATGGGAGAAAATTTTTGCAACCTACTCATCTGACAAAGAGCTAATATCCAGAATCTACAATGAACTCAAACAAATTTACAAGAAAAAAAACAACCCCATCAAAAAGTGGGTGAAGGATATGAACAGACACTTCTCAAAAGAAGACATTTATGCAGCCAAAAAACACATGAAAAAATACTCATCATCACTGGTCATCAGAGAAATGCAAATCAAAACCACAATGAGATACCATCTCACACCAGTTAGAATGGCCATCATTAAAAAGTCAGGAAACAACAGGTGCTGGAGAGGATGTGGAGAAATAGGAACACTTTTACACTGTTGGTGGGACTGTAAACTAGTTCAACCATTGTGGAAGTCAGTGTGGCGATTCCTCAGGGATCTAGAACTAGAAATACCATTTGACCCAGCCATCCCATTACTGGGTATATACCCAAAGGATTGTAAATCATGCTGCTATAAAGACACATGCACACATATGTTTATAGCGGCACTATTCACAATAGCAAAGACTTGGAACCAACCTAAATGTCCAACAATGATAGCCTGGATTAAGAAAATGTGGCACATATACACCATGGAATACTATGCAGCCACAGAAAATGATGAGTTCATGTCCTTTGTAGGGACATGGATGAAACTGGAAACCATCATTCTCAGCAAACTATTGCAAGGACAAAAAACCAAACACCACATGTTCTCACTTATACCTGGGAATTGAACAATGAGAACACATGGACACAGGAAGGGGAACATCACACACCGGGGACTGTTGTGGGGTGGGGCGAGGGGGGAGGGATAGCATTAGGAGATACGCCTAATGCTAAATGAGGAGTTAATGGGTGCAGCACACCAACATGGCACATGTATATATATGTAACAAACCTGCACGTTGTGCACATGTACCCTAAAACTTAAAGTATAATTTAAAAAAATCGGAATTAGAGGCTCTCATAGAGCCTCTAATGGTTTTCAAATCAAAGACTGAATTCCAAATGTTCTCATACATCAAGGAAGACCTAAAGCTAGCCCATGTGGCTTAGAGGTGACAGCGTATCATCAAAGAGCTAAATAACTGACCAGTATTCTAAAGGGACTAAAACATTCTTTCCCAGTCTCAGCCTTCAAGTGGCAGGTCACTGCTGAAAACTTGAAGGTAGAGAGATTAACCCTTTAAGATATTTGGTAAGTTCTGTAACCATAGTTTGTATATATTCCCCTACTATTGAACTGAGATTGCTAATAAAATCAGAGAAATCAAGGTTTAAATTCTAGCTTTGGCATGTGTGAACTTGGGCAAGTTATTTACTTTCTCTGGGCCTCAGCTTCTGCATCTCTGAAAAGGGCCATCACAGTGCATTATCTCACTTACAATGAAGGGTAATTGTGAAAATTAGAAATAATAAATCTGAAGAGCCTGTCATAGTGCCTGCCACATCAAAGATTTCCAATAAAAGCTAACTTAATATCTTTACTCAGTTATATTCATTATGTCAGGAAAGATGCCAGACGCCAAGTGTAGCAGGGCAGCTTTTACATTTACGAGCACAAAATTTGGTTTAGGTTCATGGATATTTTCATAACCTTAGGTGAATGACTGTTTCTTTCTGCCACCATTATTTCATCTGAAATATGATCAGCTTATGCTGGTTGATTTCCAAGGCATTTTAAGCTCTGACATCCTATTTTTATGATACTATGAATGAATTAATTGGCATGGGCTTTAGTAGGAACCTCTCTTTTTCTTTTCCTTCACTCTTCTACATCCTTACTGCTCCTTCCTTAATCAACCACAGCACTGAATTCATTCCTATTCTCTTTTACTCTGTTTTCTACCCTTCCAACCCACTGACAACCCCGTTGTCAAAAGGAATTTTTGGAAGCTCCAATTTGTTAAATTGCTCCATTTCAGTAAAATCTGAATTGCTTTAAGTCTCAATCCCTTTTTCCCATTTGCAGACTAAACCCTTTATTTATTAGAGTGAGATTTAAAGTTCTGTAGTCAGCCTCTGTCCACATTTGTAAATGTACTTCTTTAGACTAATATTTTAATGCCTACGAGTTTAAGCCAAAATAAAAGTAATGCTAATTGCAAAATTGTAGAAAATTCAGGTCATAATCAGATACAATACAAAATCAGAAAGTTAAAAACCATTCTTAATTCTACTCTCGAAAGAAAACCAGCAACGTGGTGTGTATTATTCTAGTTTTATATCCATTCATACTTGTGGTCAGATGAAAAATTTAAAATTTACCCATGTGTCTTTTCAAGATACCTTGTAACTCTCTTACATTTGTCTAGCTAGTTCAGAGGCATCCATTGCTCCAAAAGAAGAGAGTCATTAAAGCAGAATGCAAACAGAAAACAAAGGTTTAAATAATTAAGCATATGAACTAACATTATTTAGAAGTGAGTGATTTGTCAGATTTTCTACCTCTCTGTTCTGCTCCAATGCCCTTCCTTCAAAAACAAACAAACAAAAACACCCCCAAACCCTACTAGAAGTCCTGAGGCATAGGGGATGATAGGGTGCTCAAATGGGTTTGGCTGCGTAAGTGTGAGAAGTCCCATATGTCACAAGTTAAAGTAGAAACTGGGGACCCAGAAAGACTCTAAATATCCACCACCCTCCATTTCATGGAAGGTATAGAGTAGAAAAGACTGTTTAAGATATCCAGATAGAAGCATTTCTAGAATCTCTCAGAGGTTCCTAAGGCCCAAGAGTGGTCTGGAGGTGACCACACATTTGCTGTGAACTAGAGATGGGAGCAGAAGCAGCTGAGAGAAGAGTAGGCACAGAGAACCTTCTGGGAGGAAGAGGATTCAGCACAGAGCTGTAGGGACCAAAAATGGAAGACTACAGGGGAACAGGGTGTTTCACAGATGCCAACATGGACAAGAGACAATGACCACAGACCAAGTGCCTCTCCTCACTATGGGTTGGCATTGTGTAAATCTCACAGAATTTGCACCTAACCCAAATACAAACGTGCTTCATTTTATTGTGGTTTGCCTTATTGGGCTTTGCAGATAATGCTTTTTGTTTTTTTGTTTGTTTGCAATTGAAGGTTTGTAGCAACCCTGCATCAAGCAGGACTAGCATACCACTTTTCTAATAGGATGTGCTCACTTTGTTAGCATTTTTAGCAATAAAGTACTTTTTAATTAATATATCTATGTTTCTTTTTAGAATAATGCTATTGCATACTTAATAGACCATAGTATAAACATAACTTGCATATGCACTGGGACACCAAAGAATTCATGTAACTTATTGTGACATTTGCTTTATTATTGTGTTCTGAAACCTAACCTGCAATATTTTCAAGGTATGTCTGTATATGAGGGAAAAACTTTTTGAATTGAATGAAATTTCATTTCTACCAATTGGCCAAACAGGAAATCAAAACAGAAAATGGGTTTATAAATGGAAAAGTAAGTTACATTTTTGCATACTCAACTTTGTGAACTGAGATTCACAGAATTGTAGAACTATAGTTCTTTTCCTTAGACTTACTGGTCTCTAAAATGATCATGCCTTTAATGTAGGACACATTCAGTTGCCTCTGTCTGAAAAACTGCCACATCCTTCATTTCTCCAATTAAAAATATCTGCTCCATCTTTAAGACCTCTCTAAATAAAATCATTTACCCTTTCACAGGCCTCTCCCAAATCCCCTAAGTATGGTGAATCCTCTTACACTACACAAACTCCCAATAAAGCAGTTATTTTCATAACCATTATTATTACGTGTATTTCACTAAACCAAGATGGGCGAGAAAATGAGACCTTATTTTCTATCAATCATTTGTTTCTCATAGCTTTGCACAAAACCACGGCATCTTGCAGACCTCTATGTATCTTTGTTGAATAAATGAATAGAAGGGTGGTAACCTGAGGATGATACCAGAGGGGAAGAACCAGAGAGGCAATGATGGGTAGAAAGATGTAGAGTGCAAGTCATCTTGTTTTTTAAAAAGTAACCTAGCCATGTATCATCAACCCACAAATCCAGTTATAATAACAATAAAAATAATTTAAATTATCTATTTGTCTTTGCTTCACTCAATGGTCTACAGTGAACAAATCTTCTCCCAAAGAAGAGCCAGTATCTGGACTTTCCATTTCCCTAATTAAATTTAGAGACATCTCCAAAATAGGAAAAATGCTGAATTCTGACAATTGTAGGTTATCTCTTATTCTGTTCCCATGGGGTATTGTAAATTTCCCTTATCCTGATTTCTTGAACCTATTTGACTTTTTCACTTCATTCATTTTTACGACTTTCTTTTGGCTTATGCGAGAATTACCCATTCCAATTTTCTGGATTTTAGAGCCCCGCTATTGGACTAGTTCCCAGGTTCCCTGCATTAAAGGAATAAAACAAAGATGCAGCCAACTCAGCAAGTCATGGTCCTCTCATTTACAAAATTACAGAGTTAGAGCTCAATGGATATAAATTCTTTTCTATGAAAAGCGAGAATGATTATGACAGAATCATCTGGAGGACATACTTCACACACAGACTTGTGGACATTCCTCTAAGTGAGAATTGTGGGTGTGCCCAGGGTTCGTCCTGTTATCTTCAGCAGTCATCGGACAATTTAGACTTTCAGCCAGGTCTGAAATCCACTCACTCCTGTAGGTACTCCCTAGTGTTCCTTCTAGTCTATTATAAATGATAATACAATTGAGAATTTCAGCTCCACATACCAGCAGGGAAGTTTATTTTGAGACAGTGCCCCTCAAGTCAAGTCTTAATCTTTACATTTCCACTGTGGGAATAACTCTTGATGTTGAGAATGGCTGAACTAAGGTGAGCATGAGAGCAGGCAACCTAAGCATAAACTTAGGTTTATACAGCGAGTTGCTAATTCTTAAAGCCTTTTATTTTTATTATATGATTTGATCCTCTTTATTACCCTAGAATTCATCAGGGAGGAGGTTATTGTTTCAGGTTTACAATGAAAAATTTTGAGACTCAAAATGGCCGTGTCTTTTCTCCTTCACAGTTTGGTGAGTAAACCAGCAACATCAGCTGGGAAATTTTTAGAAATGCAGAATTTCAGGTTCATGCTAGTCCTACTGGACAAAATCTGGAATTTAACAAGATCCCTGGGTGATTTTCTTTTACATTTGAGAAGCATTCAATAATGTGATTTTCCAAAACTCCTGCATCAGGCACAGCTCATGGTGAGCAAAACCATCAGAAAATGAAGAGATCATTTATAAGGAGAAATATGGTTGCAGCCAGTAAATCAACAGTCAGGTTGGGCACCATTTTCTTGTGAGAAAGTTACAGGCCACAGGCAAGAAGTCAGGGCTGTCAGCAGCCTCATCACCAAATACCCAGACAAGGAGCAAGAGAGAGGGGCAGGGGTAATGAGGCACTCCCTTCAGGGATGATCCTGAGAGGAGAGCTTCTTTCTGCTGACAGGTAAGGGAGTCTCTGTGTCTTTCAGGTCTGACCTTGAGTTTTATTCCTACAGAGAAACAGAAGGGAAGAAGAGAAGGGGAAAACTGGAAATGTGACATCACCCAACCTGTAATTAATCATGTTCTTTAGTTGGTCTTGATAAGCCTCAGTAATTTTTTAAAAAGAGAACACTTGAAATCTTCCCTGTTAATCTCATACCTTTTCCTGATAGCTGTAACTTATTGAAAATACTTGATTTCAGAAGTGTCCATGCCTTTCTTCATTCCTTTATTCCACAAGTACTTGCTGAGTATTTTCTGGATGCTCAGTGCTTGGGAAATGAAAATGAAGGACATAGATTCTGTCATTCTGGTGCAATGAGGAAGAGAATCAAGTAGAGGGGTAATTTTAGTAAAATCATACCATCTTATTTCATGTTACCTCAGGAGGGGATGTGCCTTTTGATTTTTTGAGAAACTCAACTCAACATTTCCTGAATGGGGAGAAAAGAAAATGTTCCAACTAGCTCCAGCCAGATAAAATCCAGACAGACTGCGATGAGTGTAAGTTGCACACCTATCCATGTGGTTAGAGGATGAGAAACTCTGGGACAGTTTGGGCTACCAGGCCATTTCTGTATTTGAAGCGAGAAAATAGAAGTTACATATATATATATATATATATATATATATATATCTCATATATTTATAAAAATATATATCCTATATATATAAAATACATACGATAAAGAGTGTTGGTAGGTGCTATATCCAGCAAATAATTAGCGTCTAATATACCTTCACATCTAAACTTCAGGTTCTTTTAAGAGCAAGAATCTGTCTTTAGTTCTAGGTTCACCATGACAGCTATCACAGTGACAGGTACATGCAAAACAGGTACTAAAGAAATATCTGCTGATCAAACCAAAGGAGTGTTCAGCAAATTTTCATTTACCAAGTAAGTATGTATAACCCTTCTGGGCTGGGCGTGGTGGCTTATGCCTGTAATCTCAGCACTTTGGGAGGCCGAGGAGGGAGAATCACTTGAGGTCAGGAGTTTGAGACAAGCCTGGCAATATGGTGAAATCTCGCCTCTACTAAAAATACAAAAATTAGCCAGACGTAGTGGTGTGCACCTGTAATCCCAGCTACTCGCAGGATAATCAGTTGATCCCAGGAGGCAGAGGTTTCAGTGAGCCAAGATTTCACCACTACACTCTAGTCTGGGCAACAGAGTGAGACTCCATCTCTTTCTCTTTCTTTCTTTCTCTCTCTCTCTGTCATATATATACACACACACATATATATAGATATAGATATATGTACATATATCTATTTCTGTGTGTGTGTGTATAAAACCCTTTTGACAAGCAGGAACTCTTTTGCTTTTAGCATCAAACACAGGCAGACACATATCAATTTCCATATCCTATTAACTCTCTTGCTTTCCTGTTCTATGGAGTTGTCTAGCAATATTCTGTACAAGGCCTATTTCCAATGATCATTTTAGTAACAGATATTGAGGGAAATTAGCACTTGTATTATTTCACTCATTATCTCACTGTGTCTGGGCAAAGAGAGATGAGTGTCTTTCTCATTCTTCATATAAGGTAAACTAGGCAGCAGATTAGACTAAGACCATGTCACAATTTATGCTGGCTAATTTGTGAACAGAGCCTCAATCTGACATTAACTCCAACCAACTATGCTGCTTTTCTCCCTCTCTCTCTCTTTTTTTTTTTTTTGTATTATCTGGGTAAATGTCCAATCTTTCTTTCCTGTTACATTTTTTTCTTATTAGTATGACTAGAGATTTATCAATATTATTTATCTTCTCAAATCACTGGATTTTTTGTTTGATCTTTTCTACTGTTTTTCTGGTTTTTCAATTTATTTTATTCCCTTTTGCTCTTCTCTTTAATATTTCTTTTTTGGATTTAATTTGCTCTTCTTTTTCTAGTTTATTAAGGTGAAACTATAGATTATTGATTTGACAACTTTGATTTTTTGAGATAAGGTCTGGCTATGTCACTCAGGCTGAGGTGTAGCTGGGGTATAGTGGCACGCTCGTAGCTCACTGTAGCCTCTGCCTCCCAGGCTCAAGTGATCCTCCCACCTCAGCCTCCTGAGTAGCTGGGAATACAGGCGTGAGCCACCATGCCTAACTAATTTTGATATTTCTTTTCTTTTTTTCTTTTCTTTTTCTTTCTCTTGTTGGTACAGAGGGGGTCTCACCATGTTGCCCAGGCTGCTCTCGCACTCCTGGGCTCAAGCTATCTTAGCTCCTCGGCCTCCCAAAGTTCTGAGATTACAGGCGTGAGTCACCATGCCTGGCCAACTGTGCTGCTCTTTAAGATCATTTTAATTCTGTTTTAAGATTTGAGAAGGACAAAGTATGCCACTAAACAACTGTAGTCATTTAAGTTGAAAAATATCAAACAGTCTTTATGTTGCCTTAGTTTGTTTCAACTTCTTTATTTCTATATTGATGTCAAGGAGTGTGTGTGTGTGTGTGTGTGTGTGTGTGTGTGTATGTATGTGTGTGTTACCCCAATGAAGTAATTGCTGCAGATCCCTGAAGGTCACATACTTTTGGATTATTTTGTATGTGAATGTGTGTGTGTATGTATCAATGGATTTTATCTACCCATAACTCTGGATTCACAGCACTCATAATTGAAGAGACACCAATGAGAACCATACTCATCCTATAGCCAACATTCTAAATATCTAATTAAAAACTAGCAACTTAATGGGAGCTCTAATGGGGGAGTTCCTGAAAGAAATACATTTTAAGCTAGGTTTGATTGGGAACTGAGTGACAAATACACATTTGATCACAAAAAGCAATGCCAAATACTCTAAAATGGATAGTATTCGTTATCTGGCAGGTACTAAAAATAAACTCATTTAGTAAAGTGCAACGTTAAAAAAACAATGAAGGACTTCTGTTTCTGGGAGCATGGTGTAGAAGTACATTTCCCTATTCATCCCACTAAGTACAATTGAAACCTTATATTTTATATAAAATAAATATAGTAATACTCTGAAAGGTAGAGAAAAGAAGGCAGACCGGCTAGGGACCTCAGGACCCAAGGAGCTACAAAGTGGTGAATTATAGGGTTTACTTTTCGCCTTACGTATACTTGCCTTGGAGTTGAAGAACCCATCAATCTGGAAATGCGCATGGTCACAAACAATTTTAAAACCCCAACAAAATTTTGTGGTTTTTTTTTTTTCTGGCAAACAAAAAACAACAACAACAACAACAACAAAATCAAAAAAAAAAAAACGGAAAAGAGCAACAGAGAAGAAAGAAAGAAAAAAAAACCTTTCAAACAATAACCCCTCTACTGCAACCTAATGGCACTGAAAAGAACCGTGTCCTCTCCCCTACGCATAGCAGTTAACGCAAGTGGGAAACTGGACTTCTCCCTTTGTGAGGCTGTAAAGAAGCACCACAACAACCCTGCTGGGGTAGTGCCAGAGAGGGCTAAGGAAGCTAAGACGTTCATCCCACCAGCCAGTGGTGAGTCTTCCACTTCCCCTTATGGTGTCAGTGTATACCATATGGGGAGGCTGAGCTTCCAACCTCACACCAAGATGGTGTCAAAGACAACCTAGTAGAAAGTCAAGATTTTAACCCCTGCCCAGCAGTAATGAGTCCACCCCCACCATAGTGTCAGGAAAGATCCCATGAAAAGCTGGAATTCCCATCCCCAAAAAGCAATAACAGGGAGTCCCCATCTCAGGTGTTAAAGAGGCCAAATGGGGAATCTGAACTTTTACCTTCACTTACAGGTAACAAGATGACAGAGAAAGCGAGCTAAAACGGAAGGTTTAAATAAGTCCCAGAATCTCAGTATATAATGTGAAAACATCCAGTTTTCAATTCAAGTCACTTATTATATGTAAAGCCAGAAAGATCTGAAAGTGAATAAAAAAGATATTCAACAGATACAAACACCAAAATTCCAGAAATGTTAGAATTACCTGACAAGATTGTAAAGCATACATGATAAAAAAAAAAAAAAAAAAAAACACTTCAATGAGCAATTACAAACATACCTGAAACAAATGAAGAAAATAGAAAGCGCCGGCCAAGCAATAGAAACTGCCAGTGAAGTAATAGAAGATATTATGAAGAACCAAATGGAGATTTTACATCTAAACCTAAAATAAGTAAAACACTCAGTAGACGGGCTTAACAGCAGAATTTTTCCAAATGGATCAATTCTTTGAAAACATAAACTACCACCACTCGCCTAATACAAAATAGATTATTGCAATAGTCATAACTATTCATGAAATTGGATTTATAATTTTAAAACTCCCTCTAAAATATCTCCAGGACCAGATGGTTGCACTAGATAATTCTAGAAGAATTAAAGCCAATTTGACACAATGTCTTCCAGAAAATAGAAGAGGATGAAATACTTCTCAGTACATTTTATGAAACTGATAATGCTCCAATATAAAAACCAACCAGACAGTACAAAACAATCTACAAACCAATATCCTCATAATATACTTAACAAAATACTAGCAAATAGAATTATGATATATATATATATATATATATATATATATATATATATATGATGACCAAGTAAAAGTTATTTGAGGAATGCAAGGCTGGTTCTGTACTCTAAATCAATTAATGCAATTACCATATTAATAAGCTAAAGAAGAGCAGTTACCTGATCACATCAATGAAAGCAGAAAAGGCATTTGACCTAACTCAATACTCATTCAGATAATAATGTCAGAAAAGTAGTTGGTTAAGAAAGAACATCTACAACAAAGCTTATATCTATAATTATACTTCATGATTAAAGACTGAATATTTTTCCCCTAAAAGCAAGAATAAGGCAAGGATATCCATTCTAACCACTCTTATTCAACATGTTGCTAAAAGTTCTCGCCATTGTAGTAAGGCAAGGAAAGAAATGAAAATGCATACAAATCTAAAAGGAAGAAATAAATGCAAATGGCATGGTTGTATACATAGAAATTACCAAGCAATTTACAAAAACAAAACACAAAACCTCCTAGAAATAATAACCAAGTTTAGGAAGGTTGCATAATACAAAATAAACATACAACAATCAATTATAATCCCATACAGTATATACTTCAGTTCTCCCCAAATTGATAATCAGGTTTAATGTAATTTCTACCACAATCCCACCAAGATTTTTTGTGGTTATAGACAAAACTATTCTAAAATTTATATTGGAAGGCTAATGAGCTAGAATATCTCAAACTATTTTAACAAAGAAGAATAAAGTGGAAGGAATCCATCTACCCAAATTTCAAAACTTGCTTTTTAGGTACAATCATTAAGACTGTGTGTGTGGTACTGATGGTGTGGTATGGATGGAGTGTGTCAGGGCTGGAGGGGTAGGCACATAAATCAATGGAACAGAAGAACCCAGAAGTATTTCCATACAAATGTACCCAACTGATATTTTGACAAAGGTGCAAAAGCAATTTAATGGAGGAAAGATTACTTTTTCAATAAATGATGTTGGAACAATTGGACATCCAATAAATAATAAATAAATAAAAATAAAGCTTGGCCTGTCTCACACCTTCTACATTAATTCAAAATGGAACTTGGGCTTACATATAAAATATGTAACTATCAAGCTTTTAGAATAAAAACATAAGAAAAAATCTTGTAAGTCTAACTAGGCAAAGAGTTTATAGACTTGACACCAAAAGCACGATCCATAAAAGAAAAAAATTGATAATTTGGACTTCATGAATATTTTTAAAATTTGTTCTACAAAAGAACCTACTGAGAAGATGAAAAGAGAAACTACAGAGGAAAATATATTTGCAACCTACAAAGAACTAGTGTTTATAATAAAGAATTCTCAAAACTCAACAGCAAATAAAACAAATAGCAAACAATTCAATTAGAACATGGGCACAAGACATAAAGAGACATTTCACCAAGATACAGATAGCAAATAAGCACATGAACGATATAAAACATCATTAGCTATTAAAGTGTAAATTAAAACCACTCTGAGTGAATAAAAATCAATTCTAAGTGGAGTGCATAATGTTTCATTCTATTTACATATCATTCTTCAAATGACAAAATTATAAAATGAAGAACAGGTTCATGGATGCAGGGAGTAGGGGTGGGGAGTGGGTGTGACTATAAAAGGACAAGAGAGATCCTTATGGTAATGGAAATGTTCTAAATCTTGGCTATATCCATGTCAACATCTTGATTGTATTGTACTATAAGTTTTCAAGAGGTTACCACTGGGGAAAACAGTAAGGCTACACTGGACCTATCTGCATTATTTCTTACAACTTCATGTGAATCTATAATTAATTCAAAATAAAATAATAATAAAAATAATAATTAACTGTAACTGGTTCTTATTCCAAAAAAGGAACAAAATTAATCTCAGGACAGAATAACAAACTCTACAGAAATCTGTGTGAAAAAGAAGTCTTCTGAAGGGCATGGTCTGAAATGAGAAAGGATGGGGGTGAAGAGGGTTGAATTATAGAAAATAATAATTTTGAATCATTAGGGGAATCCCAGGAGAGAAACAGTAAAGGGATCAGGAAATGAAGAAAAGGGGGAAGATGTGTGGAAGTTCAAAATCAAAGGATCAGGAGCATATTGGAAGAGCCCCCTCAAAATAAGGCCAAAGAGGATTTTCACATGGATGAAATGACTGAGGAGACGTTTTTTAAAAGGATATCTAATATTTAACTTTCAGTAACTTGTCATATAGCAACCCTTAATTTCTCCAAATCTTCTAGAACAGCTTTTTGGTTTGTGTCCCCTTGAAGGAGACTGGAAGACAAGAAGAAGGGAGGAGAGACCCGCCCTTCCCGAAGTGCTTGCAGTTTCTACCAGCATTAGCCTGGCAAGGGCTCTACACCGTGGCCACAGGACACTGTTTCCAGGCTCCACACAGTCTCTTCCTCAAGCTTCTACATTCCAATATCTCCAAACTCTTCTCTTTGTTATCCCATCTCATCGCTGCCCCATCTCTTCCCATTGTAGCTGTTTGCTGCAACTGCTACCTCAGTGTTACCTTAACATTCCTTTTTCATCTTTTCTATTCCCTAATGTATTTTAAACCAAACCTTTGTATTTTTTTCTGTTAAATACCTCAGATGGTTTCTTTTTTCCTGATCAGACTTTAATATTATACTCATATAAATAATATTCATGAGTGCAAGATTTTTATAAGCACAGATGGAGACAAGTGGTAGGCTTGGAAGATGTACAGACTGAAAGCTTCACTTCCTTTGAGACTGACCACAGGCAGAACTAGGAAAGTAATTTAGCATTGCACGAGAGTACTGCCTCAAATCAATAGCCTTTTATGTTAACATGACATTTATGTTTTCCCAAATAATAAATTCAACTGGGTCAACTTTTTGCCACTAGGTATAAAATAACACTTTTGGGTGGATTTTCTGCCAGGCTACCTATGAGGTTAGCATATAATTCATTTATTTGTCTTTTAATCCAATCTGTTATGATGACATGGCAGAAATAATTTTACTAGAAAATGTATAATTATCATACCAAAGGGGGATCGAAAGTTAGAAAGAATCAAGTTGAAACTTCAATTGTGTCTTAAATGGTGCTTCTGTAGGTAATAAATAGGCCCCTATTTCATGGATTTACCTTTTAGTCATTGCAGTGTCTGTTTCAAGCACACAGGCATGTTATTTGTAATTGAGATACACATCCAGATTTCAGTTTAACTTGGAAGACCTCTATAAAAAGGCTGATTATACTGAAGTGCTTCACTGAGTGGTCCAGGACAATCACGGATTAATTCAGGGAGATGCTGGAAGGTTATTGGCTGTGTAAGAAAGGACTTGAAAGGAACACCCTACCCAGACATGGTAGAAACCCCAGACTAAGAAAGGACCACCCTACCCAGACGTGGTAGAAACCCCTGCACAAACTTCTCTTCATGATGCCTTTCTGCCATGTTCCAGGTTTTTCTCTGCCTTCTGGTGGCAGCAAACTCCGTCCTCAAGAACTCTTAAGTTGTTGCTTCTCAACTTCTCAACAAGGCAGAGAAGCTTGGGTAGAGAAAGGTGTTTCAGCTAATATTTCCTAAATTGGAAAATGCCAATGTAGGTAGGACTTCCCGTCTTGCCATTGGTGGATCTGCTTATGCTAAAGGGAATTTTTTTTTTTTTTTGGCTCCATGCAAACTGAAAAATCTAGGCTTCTTTTTAAGTATGAATTGATTCCCAGCTCAAAAAATGTTATCCACCTCTTGGCTGTTTCCTCAGAGCTACTTCAGTTCTCAATTCTGCCCAGAGACACCAAGGAAGCTTCACATTTACAGAATCTCATTCCTGTCTAGCAGTTGAGAGTTTGTTTTTCTGAAAGCTTAAGTCTTCAGGTTGTGCCTTCTCTGGCAGACCTACTTTGAGACATGTGCCCATTTTTAAACTGCACTGAGTCAAACAGGATAGAATGAGGTAACTAAGCTGGACCAGAACACATGTTCTACTCATGTATTCTGTGAGTGAAATCAACTTTACCTGAAAAATATGAGATGGGAGTGGGCAAGGAACGGCTCAGAGGAAAATGAGGATACCAGTGCTACAAAAAGGAATGGATCTGGGGAAACAACAACAACAAAAAGCCCACTATATGTTATTTCTGTTATAAAGCCATGTTGTAGCATCTCTACCTGAGTACTAATTTCTTTTCATATCTCTGATTTGGCTTCTCTGCTTTCAAAACACCTAGCAGTTGCCTGGCTAATCTGGAACTTGAGTCAGTTTATTTCTTGCTGTATTCACTGAGGATTCATCTTTGTTCTAAGATGAACCTCCATACGTGATATTGTGGGTGGTGCATAACAGATGGTGCTGTTGTCTTTTTAAGGTCATTGATAGGGCTCTTCAGAAAATATAACTTAGCAGACTGTGGATTCTGTGTTCTCATAACTGCAACCAAGATGACTTGACTCTAAATTAAGAAAATAAAATTTCAATAATATGACCTGTCCCTAGGTCCCTTTGCTGCTGATTCTAGAATTAGGAATGCCCAATTTAGAAGATCTGAGTAACCAGTACAGTTTGAAGCCTGGGACACAGCTGCCATTAAGGTATGAGTAGATGAGTCAGGTGGTTTTTGCCTACACACTGGACAACTAGCTGCAGCTGTACTTACACAAAAGGATGGGGAGAAGAGGATGCTTGTAGATGGGATCTAAATGCTTATCTAACACAGCAGAGAGCAAGCTTTGAGAAATTGTTTTGTTGGGTTTTTCATGGGAGGCTGATTACACTAGGATCTAAGTGAGATGTATCTTATTTTTCTGGGCAAAAATCCATTAGAAGAACTAAAGGAAGTTCAGAAGAGATTTGGTGAGATGATAGAAGGAAACTGTTGTGACAGCTTGGTTATGCTTATAGAGAACTAAGCATGCAGAGTCACCATGCTACCCAGACATGTTAGAAACCCCTGCACAAACTTCTCTTCATGATGCCTTTCTGCCATGTTCCAGGTTTTTCTCTCCCTTCTGGTGGCACAAAACTCTGTCCTCAACAACTCTTAAGTTGTTGCTTCTCAGCCTGAATCTCTCTCTCTTTTTTTAAAAATTTTACTTTAAGTTCTGGGATACATGTGCAGAACGTGCAGGTTTGTTACATAGGTATACATGTGCCATGGTGGTTTGCTGTACCTATCAACCTCTCATGTAGGTTTCAAGCCCAGCATGCATTAGGTATTTGTCCTAATGTTCTCCCTCCCCTTGCCCCCCTTGAATCTCTTATTTAGCTAATCTCCCTGGCTATAGCTGGTAGGCTTGGGGTGGACATGGTGTTCAAACCTAGGGACCTGGAACTGGGACATGGAGAGAGCAAACAATTTCATCCTCAGAAGCAGCACCAAAATCCTGGATCATGATGATCCAGGAGCCTGCCATTCTCCCTCACCACCCCACCCCACCCCTCCTGTGCATTGTCCAAATATCCTCCTTTCTCCTTTACTCCCTGGCCCCTTCTGCTTACAGTAAATGGAGGTGCTGCTTCGTTAGTCAGAGAACACACATTCATCTCATTTTGTTCTTGTCCACACTTAAACACACAGATTGTAGGCAAGAATTATAGAGGCATTTGGTGTACCAGCTAAGGAAAAGTTTACAGATGTCAAAAGTTCTTAATACACTTGTTAATTTAACACATATATTCTCTCTGAATCATCAAAGCTAACAGAAGGAACTGATATTATGGGTAATCCAAATATAATTTGCTTGGTTTTGAAAATTGTTCTGTTCTGACATTTGAATGCCAGTGTGCCTGGTGTTCAGGGAATTCACAACATGGAAGCAGCCATATGGTACCTGGTGGCCAGTGGCCTCTGAAAGAACAAGTGATTTCTCAGTCCTACTCCTGGTAATTGCCTCCCTGCTCTGGATCCCTCCCAAGCAAAAGTAGACACATTTCCCAACCTAGTGCAAAGCATCAGCCTGAGTGGAGCTGTCTACACCTTCTCATCTTATATGGAATTCTTTCTTCTCGTACTTGCAATAAGGATGACAGTAGGTATGATGAAAGGGCCTCAAACAAAAATAGACAACCCAAACCAACTTGCATCTATCTTCCTTCCTTCCATAATAGCTTATCTTTTAGTATTATTTCTGCCTTTAAAGATTATCTTGAGTTTATTATCCAAAATGGAAGAACATTCCATGCTCATGGGTAGGAAGAATCAATATCGTGAAAATGGCCATACTGCCCAAGGTAATTTATAGATTCAATGCCATCCCCATCAAGCTAACAATGACTTTCTTCACAGAATTGGAAACAACTACTTTAAAGTTCTATGGGACCAAAAAAGAACCCGCATTGCCAAGTCAATCCTAAGCCAAAAGAACAAAGCTGGAGGCATCACGCTACCTGACTTCAAACTATGCTACAAGGCTACAGTAACCAAAACAGCATGGTACTGGTACCAAAACAGAGATATAGACCAATGGAACAGAACAGAGCCCTCAGAAATAATGCCACATATCTACAACCATCTGACTTTGACAAACCTGACAAAAACAAGAAATGGGGAAAGGATTCCCTATTTAATAAATGGTGCTGGGAAAACTGGCTAGCCATATATAGAAAGCTGAAACTGGATCCCTTCCTTATACCTTGTACAAAAATTAATTCAAGATGGATTAAAGACTTAAACATTGGACCTCAAACCATTAAAACCCTAGAAGAAAACCTAGGCAATACCATTCAGGACATAGGCATGGTCAAATGCTTCATGTCTAAATCACCAAAAGCAATGGCAACAAAAGCCAAAATTGACAAATGGGATCTAATTAAACTAAAGAGTTTCTGCACAGCAAAAGAAAGTACCATCAGAGTGAACAGGCAACCTAGAGAATGGGAGAAAATTTTTGCAATCTACTCATCTGACAAAGGGCTAATATCCAGAATCTACAATGAACTCAAACAAATTTACAAGAAAAAAACAAACAACCCCATCAACCAGTGGGCGAAGGATATGAACAGACACTTCTCAAAAGAAGACATTTATGCAACCAAAAGACACATGAAAAAATACTCATCATCACTGGCCAACAGAGAAATGCAAATCAAAACCACAATGAGATACCATCTCACACCAGTTAGAATGGCGATCATTAAAAAGTCGGGAAACAACAGATGCTGGAGAGGATGTGGAGAAATAGGAACACTTTTACACTGTTGGTGGGACTGTAAACTAGTTCAACCATTGTGGAAGTCAGTGTGGCGATTCCTCAGGGATCTAGAACTAGAAATACCATTTGACCCAGCCATCCCATTACTGGGTATATACCCAAAGGATTATAAATCATGCTGCTATAAAGACACGTGCACACGTATGTTTATTGCGGCACTATTCACAATAGCAAAGACTTGGAACCTAGCCAAATGTCCAACAATGATAGACTGGATTAAGAAAATGTGGCATATATACACCATGGAATACTATGCAGCCATAAAAAATGATGAGTTCATGTCCTTTGTAGGGACATGGATGAAGCTGGAAACCATCATTCTCAGCAAACTATCGCAAGGACAAAAAATCAAACACCGCATGTTCTCACTCATAGGTGGGAATTGAACAATGAGAACACATGGACACAGGAAGGGGAACGTCACACACCGGGGCCTGTTGTGGGGTGGGGGGAGGGGGGAAGGATAGCATTAGGAGATATACCTAATGTTAAATGACGACTTAATGGGTGCAGCACACCAACATGGCACATGTATACATATGTAACTAACCTGCACGTTGTATACATGTACCCTAAAACTTAAAGTATACCTTAAAAAAAAAAACCAAAAAAAAGAATCAAAATTAATGTAGCTAAAATAAACTGTAGCTAAAATAATTTTCCAAATGATTATTTGAAATACAACCCTAAAATTCAACTCCCATTCAGACTGACTTAAATAATTAGGGTATATCCACACCAGGAAATAGGGTGAAACCTTTAATAAGAATGAAATTTAATTTCTATGGGAATATTGGGCTGGAAAAAAAAAAGGAATGAGATAAACATATGTACATGAAAAGATGCCCATGCTAAACTGTTAAAAGGAAAGAGGGGGTTACAATAAGTATAGCACTCTGTTTTTACTAACTAGTTAACTGAATACAACAGATTAATATGAATGAGAAAAAGATCAGGAAGGAAGCCTACCAAATTGTTAACAGTATTTACCTCTACAGGATAGACTTGAATGAATAGGGATGAAGAGCTTTTACTTTTTTTCTTGTTTTTTTTGAGACAGAGTCTCGCTTTGTTGCCCAGGCTGGAGGGCAGTGTTGTGATCTTGGCTCACTGCCACCTCTACTTCCTGAATTCAAGAGATTCTCATGCTTCAATCTCTTGAGTAGCTGAAATTACAGGTATACACGACCACACACAGCTATTTTTTGTATTTTTAGTAGAGATAGGGTTTCACCATGTTGGTCAGGCTGGTCTTGAACTCCTGATCTCAAATGATC